>NC_000002.12:30728626-30881376 GCF_000001405.40 Homo sapiens
GGTCCAGAGGAGACAGGCTCCTGTGGTCCATGTTAATGATGCCAGATTTTTCCTGTGAGCAATGGGAGGACATTGAAGCGTTTTTAAGCCTGGAGAATGTAATGATTGGATTTGAATTTTAAAAAGTGTAGTCCAGCTGCCGGAAATTGATTTGAGGGATATGAGTAGATATAGGAAAATCAGATAGGGAGGCCATGCCAAAGTCAGGGAGAGAGATGATGTCAAAGAAATCTCAACTGAAGCAGTTAGCAGGGAGAGTGGGAAGTGAGAATATGTAGACAATGAGCTCTTCCATGAAATTTGGTTGCAATGAGAGGAAACAGGTGGAGTTTAGCTGGAAGGGGTAGGAGATGAAGAAATTTAAAAGATACACATTTTTAAATGGGAGTTAAATGACTCCAGAAGACAGAGACAGGTTTAGTATTCAGAAGACAGAAGAGAGAATTCATTCAATCAGGCCCTTGAGAAGGTGAAGGATAATGAGGAAGAAGTGGGGAGATAGTTACAGAGGAAGGTGGGTTTGTAGATTTGCAGGCAGAACTTCTTCACCCTCCTGCCTCCAATTCTGTAAAGCAAACCACAAGCCAAGAGTGAGTGGAAGTGCTTTAATGATGTGATACCAGAGGGTGGTGATTAATGAGGAAGCTAGGGAAGCGCTCCTGTGGCTGATGATAGGCATTAGTGAAAGAAACTGAAGTAAACACGACAATGCCTCTAATATTATCCTTCCTTCTGACACATTGTTTAAAAATAGGAAGGGTGGAAACATTAGTTAAGAGGGAATCGCGACCCTGTACGGAGAAAAGGTAGTAAGAGAGAATCCAGTTACTTTGAAAGTTTAAGCCTTTAGGCCCTGTGTATCAAATTAGCTTAAATATACAATTGAAGAATCATTTTTGATATTAGAAGTCATGCAGATTGGAACAGACACAATAAAACTGAAAATAATCAAATGTTCTGTTTTTAAAAAGGAGTGAAAGGAGAACTCAAGGAAATATGATTGGGTCAAATTAACTATGATCTCTGCAGTATTCATTTGCGATCATTAGAAAGCATCAAGCGTTCATCAGGAAATATTTATGCTACAACATTATTTATGGAGACAGTGTCTGTCTCTTGACTTCAAGGTACATGAATGGGAGATTAAATACTGTTTACCAAAACAATCGAGTTTTAGGTGATATTGATCACAGGTCGGCTGCGTGAAGAACTGTATACTTCGAAGGTATATTGGCACATAGAGAATGGTCACCAGGAGGTCTGGATGAAAACCAACATGAATAATTAAAGAAGACAGGCTTTGGGCAAAATAGCAAAGGTATCCTCAAATATTTGTAGGTCTTGCATGTCCAGTATTTTTTTCTACAGTGGTCCAGAGAGTAGAGCCAGAAGCATGAGTAGAAAGTTTCAGGGAAGTAGATGATTGCCTCTAGCTAAGGAATACCTAACACTCGGAGATGTCCAACAATGGGAACCACAACATCTTGAGCTCCCCTGTCCTAAAGAATTCTAGAAGACTGATGGGGCTTCTGCTACAGCAGGGTTAGGGTGTGGACTATGTAACTCTAGGGTCTGTTTCATGAAAAAAAATGTAGAGGAAATGACGTGAGTGTTAATTCTTCAGCACACTCATGCTAGAGGGATAAACACTGATGCCTACAGATGTTCATCATCTGTCCAAAGCTGCACAGTGAGACAATGGTACAGCTGGGGCTAGAGCCCGCTCTTCTCTCCCTAAGGCCTGACCATTTCTACCATTTCTGTTGCTCTACACCATTCCATTTCCACCATTTCTCTTGCCCTTCCCGTGATGAGAGATACTTTTTTTCTTTCGAACTGCAGTGAAGGATTCTAAACCCTCATTCATGCCTTTCAAGCCATGCCTTTCCATAAAGGTCCATTGGTCTACATTGTCTGCATGAAATCTGCAGCATTGGCCTTGAAACTCAAGGGCCTTGAGCAGCTAAGCCTTGGTTCACTTATGTAAGGGTCTGTCATCCCTGGGGAGGCTCTCCCAAGGAGAGAGTCTTATGTGCAGTTCTTAGAGGGGAAGGAGGACTCATGCTCCCAGGAGGGAAAGACTCCAAAGCTACCATGTCTTACCTGAGCCATGGGTCTGCTTTCCTCTTTGCTTCAGTTGTACATGACCAGGCTCATCCACTGAAAAATAAGCATCATCATTACAACAATTCTTTACACTTGTTAGCTTAATACAGAGCAGGGCAAATGCCACCCTCCTCCCTCGGAAGACCTCAGTCCAGTCTCATCACCCCTTCCAGCTAATTCCAACCCAAGCAGGGTACGGGGCGGGGTTGTCTCACAGCACATCTTCTGCTACTCCCTGAATAACCAGGCAGTGAGACGTATATATCTTAGGTCTACCAGCTGGCTGGTCAGGAGCCTCTAAAACTCAATGGGAATAAGTTTAATGTACAGTGAGCTCAGCGGGCTGTCCTTCTGTTCCCTCCTGGATTTATGACTCCCACATAATCCTCTGCTTTATTAAGCTATTGGAAAAAAATAAAATCTGTCTGCCAAGATCCTAAAGCAGCCTGGCGGCCAGCGATATATAAGGCAGTAATTGGAGGTTGGGGGGACAGCTTGGCTGGCCTTTGACAGACCGTTCAATATCCTCAGGGAGAAAAATGCCCTCTGGAATCAAGTCAGGGGAGGCAGCCTGGGACTGTGCCTGCCCCGGGGAGGGGAAGGTACCTCACCTCCATTTCTGTCAGGTAGAGTCCTTTTCCATCCTTAGAGAGGTTGCGGAAGGTCTCTAGGATAAAGAAGGGAAGGTTTTGACTGACTGAGGAGGAAGGAATCCAGGCAGTTCAGGGGAGGCAGGCCTGGGCCCATAAGAAGCACAGGAGGTGATTCTGTAAAGCAGCCCCTCCTGCTCCGCGGGGTGTGCCTGTCACCCATCCTTTTCTCTGTCTAGCCGAGCTCTGCACGGGGCGAGTGGCTCAGGGCTCACCTCCTCAGAGGGGCTGTGTGCCTGCTCTGCCCACACGCCTCTCCCTTTCCCAGCTTCCTTGCACTCCCTGCCCCTGCATCCATCCACACTAGGCTGTGGGGATGTGAGGGCTTGTCATTCTTTCAGTGATACAATTTGGGGACCTTCCCTGTGCAACCGAGAACTGTGTGGGGGCCAAGGCTTGTACCTCAGGCTTCTCTTTTACCCTCCCAGAGCCTTAGTGTCTCAATCTTTTTGCCCAGCTCAGAGCTGCAGGCTTTGCAGCAGTGCCTCGTGGCATGGCGGTGAGAGGATTATGAGTGGGGAGGGGTCTGGCCTCTCTCCTGCAATCATGGTGGCCCCACTGTGGCCCGACTGTGGCTCGGGGTTTCACACTAGATTTCATTAAAAACAAAGGGTGATGCTGCTAAAAAGTGTGGAAACTTCGGCCCACACAGTTGGATTTCTGAAGCCTGGGGAGGGACCTCCTGCCCCTACTTATTCACTTGTGTGTGAAATTCCTGCAGCAAAGACCAAAATCCTTCATTACATAACTGAAGAGCAGGTTTCAATGATAAACACAACCTGGAGACGGGGACAGCGTTAACCTTGTTCCTGAGAGAGGGGCTGGTCAGGGTGATGAGGAAAAGAGACCTGCGATGGGGAACTACAGGGGAGAGGGGGGTGCGGAGGGAGCTGGTCACACCATCTACAGCCTCGGTTGGCACCTCACACAGGCTGCTGGCCCACCCTGCTGCTGAGGCCTCACGCAGACCTGGGGTGGGGTAGGGGGTGTCCGGTCCTCTCCTGTGTTCTTCGGTCACTGCCAAGGTCTCTGGGATGCCCCTTGGGGACACTTACTTGCCATGGCTTCAAGCCGCATCAGGAAGCAGACCAGGCTGGGGAAGCTGACCCTGCCGACGCTGTCGCTGTACCTGAGGGTCACCAGATGCAGCAGCTCACGGCTGATGAAGATCCCTCTGAGGAAGTCTGGGGCCACAGGTGAACGAGTGAGTGAGAGGAGGCTAGGGCTCGGGGGTTCCTCTGCCTCTCAGGGTCTGAGACACCTGTTCAGAGGGCCCGGCCACCTCCCACCAACTCCTCCCACTCAGCCCCCTCCCTTCAGTGTCTTCTCTTTCCTGTTGGTTGTTAGGCCCCAGGAACCTAGTTCTGGAGTCTGGCCAGAGACCACGTGAAGATGCTGAAGACCCTGCTCTGGAGATACATTGGCCTTCACAATCATCTGATCATTCCCACGTAATGGGAGAGCTGCTGGGACACCTGGGGGTTGCTTCTAGCTCTGCCTCTGTCAAACTTCTCCTTGCTGATGACCTTCACAACCTTCCTCCCCACCCATGACTGTAGGTGGATTGTTTATGGATGCTGCTAGTGTAGGTGGGAGTGGCCCCTGGCAGAAGGAGATGCAGTCCTAAGTCCATCCAGGGAAAAGACTGACCCTTGGCGGGAGAGCAGAATGCAGAAGGTGGCCTCAGGCAGGCAGGAGCTCAGCGCCTTGTCATCCTGTGCTTCTAGTTATAAGCTCCAGGGAGGCACCGACCTCACAGGGGCCAAGTGCACACTGGCACATAGTCAGGCTTTGCAAGACTTAAGAGAGCAAGCAGAACCCTGCAAGCCAAACCATCCATCATGGGGACAAGCCTGGTGGCCCATGAGCCTCCGGCAGCCAGAGACACAGGAGGTTTCTCTAGCGGAGTTAATAAAACATGAACTCGAATGCCTTTAGATAAGCCAGGTCCTGTTCTCAGTCACCTGTTTTCTGACTGTGAGCTCCATCACCCCTTTCACTTACTTGCCTGGCTGCTGAAGGCTTACTGAATTGAATTTGAACAATTTTCTACTTTTTTCTCTTTTATTATTCTGGAGTCATGTGTGAGGTCTTTCTAAAAGATTTCATCTTTAATGGATTCTTAAAGTGTGGTCCCCAGACCAGGGGCATGAGCATCCCCTGGGAGCTTGTTAGAAATGCAAATTCCTGAGCCCCACCCACACCCCCTGATCAGAGGTGCAGCAATCTGTGCTTTAACGAGCCCTGAAGAGTCCCAGTTCCACATTATGAAGCATTAAGGGGAGGATCCAGGCTACAGGTGGGGGCAACGGTCTGATCTTTCTGCCCTGTCTCCAGGCCAGGATCCACAGAAGGGAGGATGATGGAGACTATCCTTCCAGTGTTAACCCGGGGAAATGTGATTTTACATTTTATTAAAGGAAGGTAGCCATTTCCTTGTGCAACTTTTTTTGTCACCCATTTTCCCCATTGGGACAGTAGAGGTAATGATTCCTGCCCTTCCCAGTTTGCAGGGTAGTTGAGACAGTCAAAGGAGATGACGCGAACAGAAGTGCTTGGTGAACCATGGAGAACTTATGCACCCTAAGGAATTATTCTCATTATCCCAGGGCTGAAAGCCTTTGCCTACTTGAAGCAGACAGATGCCATTTGATTTAATTTAGCCCCAAACTCTCTGTGAAGAGAGAGAGCGATCATCAGCTAGCCTGTGGGTATTTAACCCTGATGGCCCAGATACTGAGCTGGAAGCGCGTCTCCAAGGCGAGCTCGATTCCTGATAGGGTATCAATCACGCAACGGCTATTTTCTCACAATTAGAGCTGTGCTGGGGAGGAAAGACATCTGGGAAAATTGAATGGCACGTGAGAACTCAGACAGGGCAACTGTGTTTGAGTCTGCAACCGTGGAGGCCCCCCAGGGTCAGTGTGAACTGGGGAGGACACGAGAGCTGCAGCGCTCCTCTCTCCTGATTGCCTGGCACTGTTGTGCCAGCCTTGCTACTAGGGGTGTGGGCATCACCCCCCTCCCCGGACCTTGGGCACCACAGCTCCAAAGTCCCCATTGTACCTGTATTCTCTATGGCCTTCCACAAGTCCGAGCTCAGGAGGACTCCAGGGCTTGTCTGAACCTTCTGGAAAACATGCTAATAGGGGAAGAGAAGCAAGAAGTCTGTGTGAAGACTGGGAAGGTCTGGATACTCCTTTTCCATCCTGGGAGCTTGCTTCCCTAAACCTCAGAGGAAGGCACGGTCACAGCACTGAGGACTGGGAGGACACAGTGGCCACACCTGGTGAACTGACCATCCTGGCTGCCCGCTGAGGGGCTGTGGCTGCTTCCCTCCTCACCCATGCTCCTTCCTCTTCTGTGCCCCCAGACTGGGCCCTGACACATAGGGCAGTTTTCTACTTTTGAGGGGAGTGTAGGGCTCTCCAAAGAGTTTGCGTAGGGTAGTGGTTAAGAGCACAGGCTTTACAACCAAACTGCTAGGGCTTAAATCGTGGACTATTTACCAGCTGTATTACCTTTGGCCATGACTTAATCTTCCTAGGCCTCAGTTTCCTCATCTGTAGCAAAGGGCTAATTACAGTGCCTACCTCACAGGTTTGTTGCAGGGAGTAAATGACTAAATATTTATAAAGTGCTTGAGGGAGTGCTTTGCACATTAGTGAATGGTCTATAGAAAATATTGAAAGCAGGTTAGAATTGCTTCCTGGAGCCCAGCACAGGGGCAGAAGGTGGCAACCGGAACATATCACTTTTGTATGGGGCGGCTCTTGCACCCACCCAGGCCTTTTCTACCTCTATCCAATTCTCTGTATAATCCTGGTCAACATCGTACTTCACAGATGAGGACACTGATACTCAGGCAGGGAACATTTTGCCTTGGATGAGGTGTGTAAGTGCTGCAGGACTGAACTCAGGACTCTAATTTGGGTCTATGCCTAGCTGTCCCCAGGAGCTACTCCAAAGCAAAGTACCCACACACAGGCATGTGACTGAGGCCAACCATGGGAGACAACTGTTGCAAAATAGCAGCTGGACAGCTTTTTGGGGGCCTTATTCGGCTTTTGGTGAGTGCAAGGACAGACCTAGACTGTTCTCAGGAATTCATTCGTTCATTCGGAATTTCTTCAGTCATTGATTCAGCATTTTGAACCCCTGCTGTGTTTTAGCCACTAGGGAGGCTCTGGGGAAAGATGGATATGAGGGACCCTTGCCCCGGGGGACCCAGGGGAGTGGACATGCCAGCCGTCGCAGTGCCCTGCAATGAAATGAGAAACCAAGTGACCCCTAGTCGGGGATCCGGGGATATATACTGAAATAGCCACACAGGAACACTTTTTTTCAGCCTTTAAACATGTTATGAAAATATTTAGTGACATGGCTAGACATTTGATGTATTTATTGGCATTTATTAGTTTTTAAAAACAGATTATACTTCTATTTGGCATGTGTGGGTATACATATTACAAGAAAAATTCTGAAGTATGAAGGGTAGGTGGGCACTGGCCAGTCTCAGGGTGCAGGGAGGGGAGAGGCAGGAGGGGCAGGCTGAAGGGGCACAGGTGTGACGTTTACAGGAAATAGTGAATCTCCTTTAGACTTGTATTGGAGTCTAAAGGAGAGAGTGGGATGAGTGGAAAGGGCTTCTCCTGGGCCCCAAATAGGGACCCACTTAGAGGGTCTTGCGTGCCACTCTGAGGGCTTAGACTTTGTCCTAGGAACAATGGGGAGGCCACATTGAGGCCTCAGGCCACATCTATGTTTTCGACAGATCCTCTGGCAGGTGGATTGGACGGGAATGAGATAAGCTAGCAGGTGTTGCAGTGGATGCAGGGGCGGGGGTGGGGGCAGATGCTAGCAGGTAGCTTTAGCTTACAGAGACAGCATTCTCCTCCCACCTCCAACGCATCCCTCATTCCGCCACCTAATTAGGCATTGCCTTGTGCCTTTTGGAGTTGCACTATGTCTCCCCAAACAACATGTGAGCTCTCCTTGAGGGCAGGGGTGAGAGTTCCTCTTCTTTCATACCCCTGAACCCTGGTGCAGGGTTAGACACCCAGTAAATCCTTGCTAACTGGACAGAATGAGAGTGCTAGTCACAGAGAATGTGCCCGTACCTGGTAGTGAACAAGGCGCTTCCACAGTCGCGCAAACTCCTCTTGGTCTAGCCGCCCATTCACTTTCAGCTGGGTAAGGAGTTAAGAGTGAACCAGCCAGCGTGCAAGGTGCAGAGGGGCTGCCATCCTGCCAACAAAGCCAGAGCAGGCCCATTCATCACTAGCAACACAGCTGGTCCATTGTCACCTGGATGTGGCCCCATGCCAGCTGGCTCCCGCTGTGTCTGAAAGGGACCTGGCTTAGATTTGTTTTACAAAGAAAAATGGGCAATTGGAAGAAGGAAGCCCTGAGGAAAGGAGGCCAATATCACTTGCATCTGAGGGAAGAGAGGGGTCTAGAACACGGCCTTCACCAGTTGGAGTGGGCCCTCTGGCTCCAGAAGTTGGGGAGGAGCACGAAGGGTCATGGCAACCCCAGAAGCAGCAGCCACAGGCGAGCACATAGAGTCCTGCGTGCACAAGTGTAGAGGGAATGCATCTCGTGGGCATGTTAAAGCCAGCCCTGGCCATGCCGTATGATGGGTTCAGTGATGACTAATGAAGGGAAAAGCATTAACCTCTGAGAACTGGAAGGGGAGCCATGAGTAGGAAGAAGGCTGAAAGAGACCTGTCCGCTTTGCAGGGGTCCAGCAAATGTGACCTCCCCTCGGGTTACTCACCCCGGGCCGTGGCACTGTGAGGACCATTTGGATTCCTCTGTGGGAGATGGGCTGTGTCTCTGATAGATTCCAAAGCACAGCCAGCAGAGACAGGGCCTGATTTATGATTTCATCAAAAAAGCCCTCTTGTTTCACAATGGCCGGCTTCACAGTCCCAATTCAGCCTTGTCAACGGTGCAGGAGCGGGGCAATGCGTCTCAGGAGACAGCACACTGCCGAGTGAGGGGCTGGCAGGGCAGCATCTGGGGGTCTACACTCATGGAGTCAGCCTCTTCTGCTTGCCAAGCCAGGGGTACGCAGGAAGAGGATGGCTCACTGGGGAATGGAAATCAGGAGGAGGGTCAGGAGTCTGGGGTTCAATTCTTGGTCCTACACTTGTAGCCACGGGCCTGGAGTGAGTCTCTGAACTGCCTCTGCCCAGCGTCTCCCGCTGTGAATGCAGCATAGCAATGCTGGGGTGCAACTGCTGTGTAGACCAGGCAGTTTTCCATGTTTTGGTGGTAGTTATCTTGATTGAATTGGGGACTTGTTGAAGTAAGAAATTTAAATAATGGAGACTCCTCCAGTGGGAAGTGAATGGGTAAAAGGGAAAATAGTTCCCAACGGTGCTATAAAGGGGCGGTTTAGGATAAGGTTAGAGCATCGACTTTGGAGGCTGAAAGCTCCAACTTCAAATCTGAGCATGAGTCCTGACTAGCTGTGTGATCTGGGCAAATTACTTAACCTCTCTGAACTCCTGTTTCTTCTACTGTATTATGAGATGATACTTTTTTGTATCAGAGGGATTGCTTCAAGAATTATAAGGACACACACACACACACACACACACACACACACACACACACCCCAGTACACTGATCAGCACATAGTAGGTGCTTGATAGATGGTAACTATTATCATTGTTGCTGTGGTATGTTAGTGAGTTAGTAGAGAATCCCCAGAAACTCAAGGACAGGGAAGAAGAGAAAATACTGAGTGGGAAAAGGGTTCCCTACTGTCCTAATTAGGTCTCTGGGGAAGCCCACAGAGCTGAGGGGTGCTCAGAGCATGGGAGGGATGACCGCAAAGGATACTTCCATCAGAGCCACCAAGCTGCGGCACTCATCTAAGGAGAACATGTCCCCTGGAGGTCCTGAGGAGAGAAGGACAGGAAGGACTGAAGTGTTGACAGTGGGGTGTGGGGTGGGGTTGCCAGCAGGGAGGAGGATGGGGCCAGCTTGCCCTTGGGCTGCTCATACCTGTTAGAAGCTCCTGGTTGAGAAGGCCCTGAAGCTGGGTGGCATCAATGTCCAGCCTCTGATCCAAACAAGGAAGGAATGCAGGAATTATATCAGTGCCAGGATCTGAGAGGCACATCTGCCTGCCGTGTAAAAGCACTCAGATTTCCAAGCACTTAGTCCCCACAATGTACCCATCTTGCCCTCGTCATGAAGACTTACCTGATGGCTGCCAGCCATAGTAGTGACTCCCTCCCCTGCACATCTGTCGTGTTGGTCACTCCTGATGCTTGGCCCCTGGTGTGGGTGACCTTGCATTCCTGTCTTTATCTATTACTGGACTGAAAGCAGTTTAGTCCTTGCCACTATCTCTGGCACTGGGGAACCCCTCAGGGTAAGTACTGTTGAATGAATCAACTCAACCCTTTAGATGTGTTCCCCATCTGCTTCCAGAAAGAGACTAGGAAAAACTATGACTACTGTGTGCATGTGTGTGTGTTGTGTGTATGTGTGTGTGTGTGCGTGCACGTGTGTGATAATAGGAATTAAAAATACCAGAAATGTGGGCTAAGAGAAACTGCTATCATTGAGCACATTACGTAGCATTAATTTTCCCAGCCACTGAAGCAAAAAGGGAGACATCATGGTTTTCTTCGGATTAAGAGCAGGAAGCAATTGAGGTTGGGGAGGGAGGAACTCTTCCTGGCCTCAACTTCTGGGGCAGTTAACTACATTTGATTTTATACTGGGGGCATCCAGCAGGTTGACAGGCAGTGTCTTTGATGACAATTTCACAGAGACATGGAGCTATTCTATATGCGGCTGTTCCTCATGTCCAGCCTGGGAAGGGAAGAGGGGATGCTATGCTGCTATCGCCCTGGGAAAGCATTTTCATGGGGAGCTGGCGCTGGAAAGATTTATCAGCAGGTGGTCCTGTAGAGTGGCACTGGTCATGTAGAATAGGGTGCCTCCTGGGGGTCTTCTGAGAATGAGCACCTTCCATCTCCCAGGATTGGCCTTACCACCTTGAACTGGAAGCAAAAACAGCCCCAGAGCCTGTCCAGATGGGGTCCTCACCTAGAAGGATGACCCCTCAGGATGCCCCTGAGGAAAGCATCCTGCCAATGCCTGAAGATGGTCCTCGGGTCATTTCACCAACATTTCACTCTGGGTTTTATCAGGAAAGTTAGTGTTGAGTGCCCACTATCAACTGAGTTTCTCTTCCAGAGACTCAGGACACCTCGCTTTGAACAGCAGTTAGCATGCTAATGAGGAGTTCCAACTTCCATGGAATCGTCCACTATAAAGCAGCTTTGGGGCATGGACCGTGTCTTTTTCCTCCATATTCCCATGTGAGGACAGAGCCTGCCCCGGGTCCTGCACTTCATAACCAACCAAAAGAGTCTGAGGAGATGAGGGTAGGAATAGAGTGAGGGTTGCTTAGTCTCCTAAAAAATTGCATGTTTGCCTCAACCACCACAATGCAAGATGCCCAAAAGCTATTCCTTGGGATTCCCAAAGCTTAGAGTGGGGCTTGTAATGTCCGGATGATGGGTAAATGCTGGCTACTTGGTGGATAGACCTAGCTCATCCCAGAGTCTAAGTGGATCCTTCCTTTCCCACAGGCAGACCCTGGGTTATAGAGCTGTCACCACTACTACAGTGAAGGAAGAACCGGTGGTAGTATCAAGTCATTGTATTAGGTTTTTTTTTTTTTTTTTTTTTTTTTTTTTTGAGATGGAGTCTTGCTCTGTCATCCAGGCTGCAGTGCAATGGCACGATCTTGGCTCACTGCAACCTCTGCCTCGTGGGTTCAGGCAATTCGCCTGTCTCAGCCTCCCAAGTAGCTGGGACTACAGGCGTGCGCTACCATGCCCGGCTAATTTTTGTGTTTTTAGTAGAGATGGGGTTTCACCATGCTGGCCAGGCTGGTCTCGAATTCCTGACCTCCCGATCCACCTGCCTTGGCCTGCCAAAGTGCTGGGATGACAGGCGTCAGCTACCGTGCCCGGCAACCATTGTATTAGTTTAAATCTAGTTAAAGTGGTAGAAAAGATCAGAAGAGAGGACACAGTGAGTGCATGGAGGAATATTTTGCTTTAAACTTTCTTTGGAGGACACAGACCCTGAGGACAGTTTGTAGGATTACAGAATACTGCCAGGTGGGCCCTGCTCAAGAGGGCCTGGCTGAGAGGTGAAAGGGGGCTGGAATCCAGTCTCTTTTCTGCTTCCCAGCCATGTATCTGGCAGAATGCCACACTGGGGTCTTATTCTTATTCCCACGAAGGCCCCCTATGGGCCACCAGTCACCCTCTATGAGGAGGAACTTGGCTGTTGTTTGGAAAAGTCCTGATTAGAAAATCTGTCCCATCTTCACATATGGCAAACATTTTTATTTTAGAGGTACAGGTGCATGGGCCATGTGTGAGAATTTGCCACCTGCCACTGAAGGAAGCTTGGTCTCAGGCATCCTAATCCGGCCCTGCTAACCACCTCAGGGGCTAACCTTCATTCACTCAGGCATCAGCTCTGGGGGAGGTGATCTGTCTTAATTCAATAGAAATGACTGAGCACCTCCTCGGGCCAAGGACAGTGATCAGTGTTGGGGACAAGGAATGCATATAATATCATCCCTGCCTTCGGGAGCTTACAGACTGAGGGCAGTCATCTTGGCCGGCCTTGTCATGCAGTGAGTGAAGTGCCTCCTGAATCAGCCCAGATGGTGGACCTGGATCCTGGGCTGGTACTGACTTCATGGAGGTCCGTGTTCCTGTGTACAGCTGCTCTTTGCAACACATGCCACTCATTCCAGCCACATTCTTAGTTTTTCCCTACTTTGGCCCAGGCTGCTTCTGGGTGACTACTACCCCATTAACCCTCTGAATGCAGAGGCAGGGCCTGCCATCCTTCCTGTCCTTGGCCTCTTCCTGGTTCAAGGCGGCAGGGTAGAGATGATCATCGGTATCACTTTCCACTTTCCACACTAACACAATTATTAACGGTAAGAGGCTCATTGTGCAGAGCCCCTGGCAGCTATTTTATTCTGACAAGTCAAGGAGTTCTTTATAACAGTTTATTAAGCCATTAAGGAAATCCTGTGTGCACATAGGTGGTTTGGCAGCAAGGATGCTGTATGTGCTTTCTGAAGCTGGCTAGCTCCCGGGAGGAACGATGCCAGGTTGGTGGGAGGTGGCCGAGTAGGAGAAGGAAAGGTTTCACGGGGTACTGCCAATTGCTTGTTTAAAGATTTAGAGGGCAATGCACCTCACACCCCATAATTATCCCCTCCCTTTCTAAGCTCTGCATTCCAGCTTGAAGTCCCCCGGATGACACTGGGTGGGGCGCCACGTCTCTACCGAGCTTGGCAGCCACAGCAGTTCTGGAGACGATCCAGGAAGAGAGGCAGGTAAAATAGTCCATCAAGTCACTTCTCCTCTCTGCATCCCAGTAAGGGCCTGTGAGAGCTGTCCCTCCCTCAGGTCCCCTTTCTCCAATCCCACGTAAGGCCCCTGGGTGCTAGGTACCATACCTGCTGAGCATATCTGTTGAAAATGCTTTGTTGGGAGCCATGTTCTGAAGGGCTTCCCTGGATCAAAGGGAAAATAGTCAATGTTAGACTTCTGGGGAAGGAGGCCACCCATCTGGTACAGCAAGGGTGCAACAACCCCTGCCAAGATCTGAGAAAGAGTCTTTATTGGGCAGTTGGAAAAAGCCTTCTGGGGAATGAGAAAACTGAAGTTTGTGGAAGGAAGAGGGCTGGGTTGAGCCTGGCCTTGGAGGCCTGGTCTTCTCCCCCTACCCCGCCCCTTTGAGCCTTCATCGGCCTATCATGGTGTCTCTCTTTTCATTGGTTGGGGGCAGCGGGAGGTGTAAAGAAGGAGACGGAAGCTCTTGGGGATGGGATGGGGCCAATGAGGCTCGCCAGCCAAACCTTGCTGCATACCTACCTTCATTCTGAGGTTGAAATGGCTGCTCAGGTGCCTAGAAAATCAGAGGACAGTGTGACAAAGATGACCAGCTCACCACTCAAAGGGGGCCTGCATATAGAGGGCACCCAGGTGGCACTGGATATTGATGCCAAGTTCCTGAATGGGGCACCCTCAGCACCGCAGGACACGAAGTGAGCAGCTACAGCACCGTGGCCACCAGCCCAGCCTTTTGGCTGGAAATGGTCTGGTCTTTAACTGTTTAGTAAATGGTTCCTTCCACAACCCGATACACACTTCCAGCAACCCCCATTGTCAGTATGGCAGATAGGCTCTGCCTTAGGTTCCATCTCTGATTGGTGGTATGATGGCGGCCTGGCATGCTGGACTTAGAAGGTCTCACCAATGCTCAGCTGCAAAGACTGCCATAATGATGGCAATGTCTGTCTTGGGCCCAAGAGGAGACAAGGGGCCCAGTGGGGTGAGCACTTGCTGGTCCCAGTCTTGAATGATCAAGTTGGCATGGAAGACCCTCCATGATGGACTCTTTCTTTCAGGCCCATCTTTCACTGTCTCCCTGCTATACCCCACATTTCAGGCCATGTGATATGCTGGCCAAATGCCACCTTCCTGTATGGATGCCGATGCTACTTACTCTCCAAGCAGCCCTGTGCACAGCCACTTCCCTCCCGCCATTCATGCTTTTTTCTTCTACCTACCTTCCCATGGCTACCATCGCCTTCCCTTTTAAACTATTAAATTATGTTTTTCTTCAAAGCCCAGCTCACGTGTCATTTCCCTCAAGAAGCCTTCCTCAGTCCCTCTTGCCACTCAGTCCTCCCGTGCCACTTTGCATTTCCATCTGGCAATGGACCCATCCTGTTTGTGGTCTGGTTCTTGGTTCATAGACTTTCTCGCTCCCCCTTTATGGTGAGCTGCTCTAGAGTGGGGCCAATATCATGTCCCCAGTGACATAGCACAGGCTGCACGAATGCACAGAGAACTGCCCATAATTACACAATGTGTTTTTATAAAGTTAAGTAGAATAAAACATTTACAATCCCAGAGGGTTCTGTACCTGTCACTGTCTGGCATTTTCAGGAAGATTCGGAGCAAGAACTCCGCTGATTTTCTCCGTGTCTGTGCAACCACAACATAGTTCCCAGGGCTCAGATGGTAAGTCATGGTGAAGTTGCGGCGGAATTTATTATTTGAGCTTTGGACAGTGTTTCTGAACGAGGAAAAAAACACGGGTGGAAATTTCTCCCGGAACCGCTGGAATTAGAGGAAACACAATGATTGTGAGAAAGCCTCCTCTGTGCATGGACCCCAGTCACCAAGAAAGACCCACCACCTTCTAGACCGTCTCCATTCACCAAGATAACATTACAGGCTCTATAAATGGAGACAGTGCTCAGCTGAAGTCTCAAAAAGCAGTAGTGTTTAGCCTGTCATTTCATCTAGACCCTGGACACAATGGATGCAAGGAAATACCACACACAGTTTCATCTCATTGGGTCTAACAGCATCCTGAGTTTCTGAGTTTTCTCTCCCTGCTTATATAGAGAGAAAACTTCCATGGAAACTAGTGACATCATTTTGACACTGATTTTCTTCTGGGGCCCCTAAAGCCCCTTCTCTCCTGAATGTTTAGCAGAATACTTTGGACTGCTATACCATTACAGAATTGAATTCTTTTCACTTTCTCTGTTTCATCTCTCCAGTGAAGCCCCGAGATTCCTTCTCATTGGAGAATAATGGGCCCTGATCATTTTCCTTTTATTTCAATGTTTTCTTAGAGATAAAACAATAAATATAATGCAGTTCCTATTACCAGATGTCACATACATATTATATAATGAAAACCCCTTGCTAAACAAATTTTCCCCACTATAGTCAAGCATAGGGATTCCATTTCGAATGGTTATGCAGCAGGAAATGATTATTTATGAGCTATGCCTTGCAGGGAAAACGGGAAAGGGGAAAGTTTCTTTTCAGGGGTAGGGACAGGGCTGGGCTCCAAGGTAAAACAGGAGATAGGCCACTGCCCCAGGGGTATGGGAGGGTGGCATCTCCAACGCGATTCTGCTGACATTAACAATAGCCTCAGCAGGTTTGGGAGCCTGACTTGCTTGGGCCCTTATGGCAAAAGCAATGATGGAATCAGTTCTTCTCCAGAGGGTCAGCAGTGTCCCGTGGCTCTGGGTATGGGCGAGTGTGCATGCATGTGTGGGTGCATGGGGAGGCAGTGGGCATGCAGAGGTGTGTGGGCAGCATGCCTCCTATAATTAGAAGGCAACAGTCTCCCTGCTCACCCGTTATCTTGTCCTGCTCCCTCTGTTGACCCCTCATAGCCCTGTCCAGGCTCCTGATCCTTCAGAACAGACTTGCTCAGTGGCAGTGAGAAGTGTGAGTGTGGGGGAACAACGTGGGGGTTCTTGGTCAATTGCTTAGAGTATCCAGCATCAACAAACCACACACCCAGGACTGGTCATGCACAGACCTGACTCTAGTTCTAGGGATGGGTTCTGTGCTTTTCCTGGATTAAGTGCCACTTTGTTCTCCAGCTCTGGGACCTGAGACGCTGATGGCTCCTTGCACCTGAGTGCTTCTCTCAATGCCCATCCCAACCCTCCACTTCATAGCTGGGATGTCAGGGACCAGAGTCAGATCCTGACCCCCGCTCTGTGGCTGGGCCACCACTGTCACAGGCAGGCTCCCCTGGAAGGCCTGGAGGTGCTGTAATCACTCTTTGTTGTCTGTGGCCACATCTTGCTCCTCTCTTTCATCTGTGGTCCCCAGGCAGATGCACCTCCCTCTTGGTGGCTCAGCACTCTCAGCCATGGGCAGAGAGGTGGGTCTGAGTGCCTGTGAGGATAGGTATTCCAAACTCCACCTGTCTTTCTCCATCCTTCCTCATATGGGCAAGTCACCTTTCACCAATCCTGAGCCAGATGATCTGTTTAGGAGGGTGGCAGTTTCTTGCAAGACGGGCTCAAGGATGTACCTTGAAGCTGCATTTGGAGAGCATGCATCCTGCTTATGGAGGATTTGGGGACTGACTACTTTAGGAGGCTAAAGATCTTTCCAAGGTACCCCTTAGTGCTGCTCTCATCTTAAATAAAAAGGAACCATCTCCATCAATCTTCTCTATCAGAGGCCACGGGCCTGAGGATGGTTTCACTTGAATGTTAGCAAGAGAACAGCTCAAAGGGTCGAAGCTTCAGACCAGGACACCTAACTATTCTCCTGCTTTGTGAACCTGTTTGGGGATTCTAGGCCTGTGTCTGATGTAAGACTTAGCGAGACTGAATTTGCAGCCACTGAACACGTGGAGGCCATGGGCGTTGGAAGTGGCCTAACACTCCACCAGCAGACAGCAGCAGAGGCGCAGGGCAAGGACGACGCTGAGCCATACCTGTGAGCCAGCCTGTTGGAAACAGGGAGAAAGGCAGATTTAGGAACTCAGACGTAAACAAAAAGGCAAGCAGAACCGAACAGCTTGGCTCATTGGTTTCATCCCTGCATTCCTTCTCCTTTTCTTCCTCTCTTTTAAAGAATTTATTTTATATCTGTTATGCCATAAAGCATTTTTTTTTTTTTTTTTTTTTTTTGAGATGGAGTCTCGCTCTGTCACCCAGGCTGGAGTGCAATGGTGCAATCTCGGCTTACTGCAACCTCCGCCTCCTGGGTTCAAGCAATTCTCCTGCCCAAGCCTTCTGAGTAACTGGGATTAGAGATGTGTGCCACCATGCCTGGCTAATTTTTGTTTTTAGTAGAGACGGGGTTTCACCGTGTTGGTCAGGCTGGTCTTGAACTCCCGACCTCAGGATCTGCCTGCCTTGGCCTTCCAAAATCCTGGGGTTATAGGCGTGAACCACTGTGCCTGGCCACCACAAAGGATGTTTTAAACACTGACATATCACTGTCTAACAAGATGAAGTAAAGACAAAAGAAATTTTTCTTATTAGAAACAAGATACACCATCACTTAGAGTCTTCAAACACTATTGCACTCTAACTTTCATGACTCAACAAAGCATTCATGGACCAATCTGCAGACGAGTTTTAACAGACACATAAAGCTGTAAGCAGACATGACTGTTCTAAATTTATTAGGTATGAATTTTACAAACGTTACTTATATCTGTGATAACATTAGAGCTGGAGAATATTGCACCTTCTCCAAGTTGCATGGTGAGAACCACCAATAGCGTGGTAGAACTTACGGCCCTTTCCAAGGCCATGGCTCTTGCAGCCTGAGGATGTCAGCCCACACATCTCCCCATGCTTGTGGATAGATTTGGTGATCTGCTGGGTGTCAAGATTTCCTCTGATAGTTTTATGGAATGGATCAATGAGGATAACCTCAAAAAATTTATAAGTGGAACACGTTCCTCTTCCTTGTGTGGCCTGCCTGTTCCTTGGCACACCTAGAGGTGAACTGGGATGACTGGTCACTCATGCTCTGTGTGAGGTTGTGAAAAATGAAACCCACTCAATTGCAGAGAACAGCAAGAGGAAGGAAACTGAGGCAGAAAAGGAGGTGTCTGAGAGGAGGAGGTATTCTTTGGTCAGCCCTGAAAGGTGTGGTTACTCTTCACAGCAATGATGATCGCACTGAAAGGAAGGGGGAGATTTTGACAGATAGCACAGAACCTGGCGCAAATGTAAGCTCCCTAACATCGGGAGCTTCCCTGAGAAGTCAACTTCTTTTATTCTATCAGGCCACTGTAAATAGATGGGAATTCGTTCTTGCACTCCCACCCCTGATGCTTGTAGGAATGTCTGTGTGCCTATGAATGGGGAGATACCCATGTTCCAGTCTTTTCACGTAGTAGAAGGAATACCTGAGAATGCAGTTCCATTGTAAGCCTCTCTACGGTTTGCAAAGCACTTTTATGTAATGTGTTGGATATTCACAATAATCCTGCAAGCCGATGCTGGGCTCCCTATTTTATGGGTGTAGAAACTGAGGCTCAGCAGTTTAAGTAGCAGAGCTGGGAATCGGGGAAGCTGTGCTGCTTGCTTTGTAGTCAAGCCCTGTCACCACCAGGTGATGTCTTCCTTAGTTGGCTTGATTATTTCCCATTGTTGACACTGGGCCCCACCCATGTGTACAGACCTCTTAGCCGACTTCTCTGGAGGCCAAGGGTGAGCTGGGAGGAAGGTGGAAAGTCCAGGCCTTGGGGAGGAACTTTGAGGGAGGTGAGGATGAAATGGCTCATCCACCCTCATCCTTTTCACTGTCCTGTCTTCTCCCTGCCTATTCATATCCCATCAAGGTCTGGTTGGACATAAAGCAGAGCAGTGCTCCCACAGCAACTGGGGAGTCACAGACCCATGCCAGGGCTGGAGCATCATCATATCAGCAGGTCAGCACTGGAGCCCTGGAACTCCATTTGAGCCCTGGAGCCTTCTGAGAGCCTGGCTGCTGGCAGGTACATTGTTGTTTCTCAGCTGAACTGTGAAAGCAACCAGTGTCATTTGAGTTGTCCAGGTCTGAACTGTTCTTTGACATTTAACTCAATCAGGATCTTGCAAGATCTGCTGGGATCTCCAGGAAGCCTGAGGAGCTCTTGGGTCTGAGAGTTCCTTCAGCAAATTGGTGAATGGTGAGAAGTAACACATCTCTGGCAGAAAAGTAGGAAAGTGGGCTTGATGTCATTTTAAAAATGGGGTGGTTACAATCTTGGTAGGGTTCCTGAACTGTGAAGACTTTGGGTGAATCAACACAAGGCCCATGGTCACCCATGTGAACAGAGCCTCAGAAGTTGCGTGTGTGCCGGGGCAGCTCTGATCCTTCTGTGGGCTTCTGTCTTAGCTCAGAAGAAGGAAGAGTTGGCTGAGATG
Source organism: Homo sapiens (assembly GCF_000001405.40). Taxonomy (NCBI): domain Eukaryota; kingdom Metazoa; phylum Chordata; class Mammalia; order Primates; family Hominidae; genus Homo; species Homo sapiens. Next base: position 30,748,157 of record NC_000002.12, read on the forward strand.
TTTCTAGTAGGCCTCTTTGGTGCTTGACCTGGTCAGTCCTGGCTGGGCAGACCAGGGGCCTCAGTTCCTTCTCAGCCTTTCACAAATCTCTCCTTCTGCCTTTAGCCTTTTCTTCCCAGAGGTGAGAGCTGGAAAATCTGAGGGTCCTCTTAGAAGGCACCAGAGTCAGCAGGAATTCTCGTCTGAAAGCCCTGGAAACTATCTCAGGCTGGGGTGGGCTGAAAGATGCTTCTTGGAAGGACAGCTCACAACGTCGATGGGATGCTAGAAAATGCAGTGCAGAGGTGGGCAGGGGCCAGACAAGATGGCTACACAGCAAATAATCCTCAGCTGTTCCCACCTGTTTTGGTTATTTCCTTGAATGCCAAGGCTCTGAGTGACTGAGTGTGTGTGTGTGTGAGGGGTGAGGGGGAGATGAAGGGAGCATCTAATTGGGCAGGCCTGGGTCACAAGTCTACAACTTTTGCATCCAAGGGCTTGGTTGAGGGGATATTTGGCCTCTAGCTGCTTGCAGTAGGAGGCTGGGCCCTGCCTCCCACCAGGATTCCCTTAAAGTGGAAAAGGTGTTCAGGTACCAGGTGTGATGAAAATAACAACGGTGTACTACTGCATCCTTAAGAGATATTCTTTGATATCATCAGCGGGTTTGAGGCACCTCAAAACTACTGTGCTAAACCCCAGTGATTTCTCTCCACCGAATTCCTGAAATTGGGAAATGGAAATATGGTCAAGGAGAGCAGAACACGAAAGCTCTCCTTCTGCTAGAGCCAGAATCTTTGTGGTTTTTGGAGCCATGAGTATCACCAGAAAGGCATGCACCTAAGCCCTACTGAGAGCCCTGGAGCTGAGACCCTAAGTTCTGGTATCAAACACCCCTGTCACCTCCAAGGTGCACCTTGCATAGGTCATTCCTCTCTGAGCTTTAGCTTCCACACCTACAAAAGCGGGGCTAGTTGTGCTTTTGAGACAATGAATGTGAACATGCTTGTACTTCTGAAGTACAGGTTGAGCATCCTTAACCTGAATATCTGAAATGCAAATGCTCCAAAATCCAAAACTTTTTGAACACCAACATGATACTCAAAGGAAATGCTCATTGGAGCATTTTGGATTTTGAATTTTTGGACTAGAGATGCTGAATCAGTAAGTATATAATGCAAAAATCCTCCAAATCTCAAATGCAAAATACGTCTCGTCCAAAGCATTTCTGATTAGAGAGACACAATCTGTATTCTCTCACTGTGAGGCCCTCTTATTAGTGTAAACCACAGCCAATGCATAGGATTGTTCAGCCATGTCTGGGGTACCCAGGAGCCGTGTCTGTCCATAAATGCACTGACACCCAAGGCTGTGAATTTTGCCTTCAGCTCAGTCAACAGAAACTGAAATCATTCCTAGAGACCCTGTAATTCAAGCTCCAGCCCAGTCTGTTAAAGGACCTCTGATATCCCTGGTGCTCAGAAAGGTGACTTGTGTGTTTGACTGAAGGTTTGGGGGACCTCTGGAAGCCAGTCTCAGCTCTGCCATTAACTCTGACCATGTCACTTCACTTTTCGGGGCCTCAGTCTCTTCAACTCTATTATGAGGAGAGAGGATCCCAGCGTGTGCATGATCTTAATTATCCACGTTAGTGCAAAGAAGCTGTGCGGTGTATGGTTTGAGAACCTTCACTTGATTTGGGGGATGCAGTGAATTGTTTGGAGGAATAGCAGGGAGTAGAGAGATCAGATTTTCTTTTGTAGCTTTTTTCTTTTAAATGATATTTAAAAAAAATGAATTCCCCCAGCTATCGCATTACTGGGTATATACCCAAAGGAATATAAAGCATTCTACCATAAAGACACAGGCATGTGACTGTGCATTGCAGCACTGTTCACAATAGCAAAGACATGGAATCAACCTAAATGCCCATCCATCAATGACAGATTGGATAAAGAAAATGTGGTACATATATACTGTGAAATATTATGCAGCCACAAAAACAGCTGTTTTTTTCTGGGAACATGGATGGAGCTGGAAGCTATTATCCTTAGCAAACTAATGCAGGAACAGAAAAGCAAATATCACAAGTCCTCACTTATAAGTGGGAGCTAAATAATAAGAACTTATGAACACAAAGAAGGAAGCAACAGACACTGGGATCTACTTGAGTGGGGAGGGTGGGAGGAGGGAGCGGGGCAGAAAAGATGACTACTGGGTACTGAGCTTAATACCTGGGTAATGAAATAATCTGTAAAACAAACCCCTGTGACACATGTTTACCTATGTAAGAAACCTTCACATGTACCCCCAAACCTAAAATAAAAGTTTCATAAAACCATGAAAGGAGAGAGAGCCTAGGTGGAAAGGAAACCTGGCCTCAGGGTAGCCAAGCAGAAGTTTGCATGCCAGCCACCAGACGATGACTCGACTTTGGTCTAAACGTAAGAGAAAAACACACCTCCCCTCCTGGATTTATACTCAGAATAGTTTAGACAGCTCATTTTTTTCCTAAGCAACTTCCAAAGTTTAGCCAATGATTCTCAAACTTTAATGTGCATAAGCCTCTGGAGAGCTTATGAAAATGCAGATTTTCAGGCTCTGTCCTTAAACATTCTGATTTAGAAGGTCTGGAGTAAGCCCAGAATCTGCTTTGTTAGAACAGCTGGTCTTGGCCCAGACCACTTTTTGAGTAGCAAGCATTAGATTCTGCAGCATCCCAGAAAACGCTGACAGGCGACACGGGCAGGAGGTGAGTCCCACTGTAATCATGATCGAGTGTCATCTTTCTGGCCTCAGATTTTTTGCACATTTAGACTTGGACTGCATGAATGCTACAGCCTCTTTGGGCTTTATCTCCAAGGCTGTGGTGCAGTCAAATCTCCCAGCCTGGCCAGAGCTGTTCTCCCCAACTCAAGGTTTACACTAAATTTCTACAAGGGAAAGCCCTGAAGCAGGCTGCCTTACCAGAATCACTTGGAAATCGAGTGGAAATTTTGCATCTTCTGCTTTCAAATTTGATGGTGTGACAGCAACTGTGACGCACACGACAACATTGGTGCCTTCCATTGGCTCTTGCACAGAGAAGTTGAATTGAGCATCATTCCGAGGTCCTCCTGCATCAGAAAGAGCTGTTACTAGAGCTCAGCTCCACTCCTGGGACTCCTGGGCAGGGCCATGTCCAGTGCAGAGAGTTCTGTGGGGTTGTGTTGTGAACTCTGGATTGGAGACCTAAGGCCTGGATCCCAATCCCCACAGTTACTACTTGAGAAACAAGTTAATTTTCTAAACCTTGGTTTCCTCCTCTTAAACACAGGAGAGGTTGTATAGTCCCTACTGTGTGAAAAATATTTCTTAAACTGTAAAGTCAAAGTCTATTTTATAATGATAAGTGAAATTCCAGAGTTCCCAGCTACATGTGAGCTTATGCATTGGTGGTAACCATCAGAGCCTTGAAATGGCATGAACCACCCAAGCACAACTAGAGACAGGAAAACAGGCAGTGAGATGGCAATTACAGTACTCTTCTATCCAAGCATGCTTATCAAAGCCAGAATAAGAGAGAGCGAGCTAATGTGAAAACCATTAGATTCAAATACATGGAAGAATGAAGATAAGTCAAGATAGAGATGAATTGATACACATCAGAAGACTGGACTGACAATGGGGGAGCTCTGCAAGGGAGTGGGGAGGCGTAGAGGACCATCATAGCATGGACGTGCTGCGAGGACTGGAGAAGATGGTGCATTAAAATGCATCTGCAGCACATAGCAGGTGCTCGATCACTGGCTCTCTTTTCTTTTTCCATTGTAACGTATTACTAAAAATGGCCCTGATGTAAAGGTTTTGTTAGTTCATTGACAAGCATTGTATCCAGGGGAGAGGGCCTTGGCCCTATAATCAGAGAGGTGCAGCTCAGGAAGAGGAATCAGTAAATTTGCTGCCCAAGAGTGACTCAACAGCTCTTGAGGTTCTGCCCAAGACCTCCTGGTGACAAGGCTCTCTGGGCAGAAGTTCTGTAGATCACTAGAGCCTGGAGGTAAAAAAGAGGGACACCCTGGGTTATGGGCTCATTCAAACCAACCATCCCGACAGGCAGGTGCCCAGAGGAAGGGATGCATATGCATCCCTGGGTGCAAACACACAACAAACACACTCACACACACAAATGCATTGTTTACGCAGCCTCTTTTATCAAAGATATATAAGCACACTCTTGTTCGTCTTCACAGGGAGCTATTTCACTCAACAATGCCACAAACAGGGAATGAGAGGGACAGGGAGGGAATGTGACTTTCCCAAGGCCATGATCAACAAGATTCATCTCAGGGGAGCTCAAAGACAGGCTCAGATGCGCCTACCTGTGGGACTTCAGCAGGGACATACCTGCCAAGACAGGGCAGGGATAGTCTCCCTTGTGTCTAGGTAGTGCTCTCTAGGCTCAAGGACAGACAAGTATGACTATTTCCACTGCTGAGTCTTGGGGAGGCTGAGGACAGGGTGACCAATTATGTTTCCAGCATCACAAGGCCAGTATGTGGCAAAGACAAGGGTCCAACCTAGGCCCTGACACTTTTCCTGTGTTCTTTCTGCAGCGCTCTCCCTTGTCCTGGACATTTACTGGAGGGTGGTGAGCCCACTCTCCTCCCAGGAAGCGGGAGGGTGTTAGTGGAAGGATATTGGCACAGCATGGAGGGCTAGGGGAGAATCACATCAGAGATTCTCCAACTTGGCCCCTACAGCAATCATTTTACTTAGAGGAGCAGTCGCTGTCTCTTCATGCTGACAAACTCCCCTCCTTTCAGCTTCAGGCTCATGGTCCAGAATCAAGGACCAGAGAGAGCTGAAGCCATGCAAGGGCTGGGCTGGGGCAGCCAGCTTCCAGTTGGGCAGTGTGACCACCAGCGTCATGATTACCTGCAGTGTTTCCTAGAATCACTTGCTTCCTAAACATTATTTGGGACCATCCTTCGTGGAGTGTGTTTCCATGGTCCAGGGTAATTGGAATTTCGCTACATATAAACATGGCGATGAATTTCTGTTGGAAATCTTGACACGACATCCTGTTAAAAACAGATATACATCACTCAGTGACCAGGGGTTGTGTCCCCAGGGTGGGGGTTCCTATGACTTCACAGCATAGCCACTGTCCTGCCCAGAGGCCAGTGTCTGATCCTGGCTCATTCACCATCAAGCACCCTTCTATCTTTTCAGTCCTTCTGCTCCAGTGGCTGGGAGGGCAAGGCAAGGACACAGTCAAGTTCTGGGGTCTGCCGGTCACCTGGCAGCAGCTTTATCATTTACTGCCATCTCCTTAACCCATTGATCCGATGGTGAGCCCTTTCATGATCAGTGGGACGACGGCCAGTCTCTCTCTGCTCTGGGTCCTCTAAGCTGCTAGGAAAATTGCTTTTCCCCTAGGGTGTTTTGCCAAATTTATTGTTGAGGTCTTTATCAGCCTAAAATGGATTCCACACCTAAAATCCCACCTCCTACTGTGATTAAACCAGAGATACTGGGAAAGATTTCCTTCTAATTTATATTTGTCCCTCTGATTCTTAATTATTTAGATCCATGCTCCTTTCCACACATGCTAATTTCCATTGAAATGCATCACTCCGTAAACCAGACAACCCTCTGAGGAATGTACACGTCATGCTCTAAGATGTGAGCATATGGCCGAGAACGTGTTTTCAAAACATCTAGTCCTGTGTGACTTCTGGGTGATGAAGTCCATGTCTCACCCAGAGCTATAGAGTCTGCATCCTGCTGCTGTTTTTGACGTCATGCTAGAGGAAACTGGGGAGCTCGAGGGTCCCAGCAAGATGGTACAGAGGATATGGGCATGACAACCATGCATCCTAGCTTCCAGGAAACCACAGATTTCAAGCCTTTGGTGCCAATGTTCTCTTTTACTATTAAAATGTCCTGGAAAGTTCAGCATTTCATAACTGAAATAACTTTCCCACCAAGAGGGAGCCTACAATAATTTTTCATCCAAAGTTTTTGTGTCTTGGTAGAGAAAATAGGCTCCCTCTAAACAGGTCTCTGCAAAGCTATTTTCCACCTTCGTAAATGTTCAGGGAAAAGGGTAGGGATTGAAGACTTGGGCAATAAAAGATTTAAAACACCATTGTATAAGAAGGGTAAATACCAAAACTCGCCATCTTCCCGTTTCTTATGTAGCTGGCTTTTCCGCGGATCACAGGTTTCCTCCCACTCCTGAGACCTGAGCATGGACACACAAACCACAGGGTGAGATTTTCCAGTGCATTTTTTCTCAACCATGTGTGGGTCAACAGGGACCCTCTGTACATGTCACCATTCCTGGGGAGCACAGGGCAAGTGTCATCCTACCTAGGACAGGACCCAGTTATTCTCTACCTGTTGACGACTTCCAAACATCTGTCCCCAGCCTGGTCTTCTTTCCTGAAGTCCAGATGGATTTATGCTGTAGTTCACCCCACATTTCCAAGAGAGTCCCATAGTGACCTCAAATCAACCTGTCCCTGACTGTACCCATCCTCTGCCACCTCCTATTGCCTGAGCGAGAACATGAGGAGTCCCTCTCTCACACCCCCACATCCAAACAATCATCAAATAGCATTCATTGATTGATCCTACCTCTTACACCCCTCTCAAAGCCAGGCACTTACTTCCATCCTTCCTGCTGTTACCCTAGTTCAGGCTCCCTGCCCTTCCCTCTGGATATCCACCTGGTCTCCCTGAACTCAGTTCTGCCCACTTTCCCATCCGTTCCCACACTGCCATTGAAATGATCTTTCTAAAATGTAAACTTGATTATATTATTTCCCTACTTAAAACCTATCAGTGGTTCCATATTATTCTTAAGGTGAAGTTCACACTCCTTAAAGAGAACTTTGTCCTCTGCCACCCTCTCCGATGTTACCAGTTTCTTGCTTTCTCACCTTACCCCCACTCTTGAATTCTACTCTCCAGCAATAGTGTCTTCATTTCCTTAAAACACCACCCCCCCAAGCCCAACTTTCACCCTGATGCTCCCCCTGCACCTGGCGCCCTCTTCCTCCTCTCAGTTCTGTAACCTGCTCTTACTCATCTTTCCTCTTAAAGGGCATTGCCTCTGGGAAGCCTTGCTTGGCCCCCAAATGCCCTCTATTCCAGGTCTTTTGAGCTTCCATAGCCCACTGTGTTACCATTACTTTGTGTATTGGTTGCTATGTCTCACTAGACTCCCAGAACCATGAGATTCCTGAGCCTGGCTGGCCATCCTATCATCACAGGTGTTTTGCCCATGCCTTGGCATGTATTAGGTGGGTGCAAAAGTAATTGCATGCCTAATAGCATACAGTGATTTTTTGTTTGCTTAATTAATTAATGCTGCCCACTTCGTTGGAACGATGTGTTCCAGAAGCCAGTCCTTGGGTCTCTGGTGAGGAAGAGACCCTCACAAGCAGAAGGGAGCAGCTGCTCCTTCAGTCCACTCCTTAGAGGGGAGGCATGCTTGTAAGCAATGGGTTTCAGAGGCACAAAAGCTCAATGAGACCTTTCTCCTGGATGAGCTTGCATGGGGAGCCTGGGTCCCCTCTGTGCTAGGACAGCAAGGCAGGGGCCACCACTCAGGCTTCTGGCTGCAGGCTGAGGCAGTCAGATGTGGTATTGTAAAATGGCAATTTTATAATTAAGTGATAATTACATTTTCTGCAATGTGTGAGGGAGAATAAATGTAGTGTAGATCAATACGCTATTGATTCATGCAAGTTTGCCTTTAAGTGTGTGCGACTGAAATTTTAATTATGGCTGAGATTAGACCATCCGGTGCTCTCCATCCATCTCCATTCCTAAAAAGTAGGGAAGAAATCGACCACCTGCTTGGAGACAGTGATTATGCAGTCCCCGTCACTTCCTTCCAGCCTGGTTTCTGGTGCAAAGTGGCGACCCTCAGCAGTCAGCCAAGGTACAATACGAGATCCAACAGAACAGGTTCTGCTAGATCCGTCTCCCCCAGTCCCTGCTCTGCAAACATCACGGCCATGTTCAAAAGCCTTCATTTATGCCCATGCCTGCAGGGGATAAATCCAGACTTCCGGCATCAGGCTGTCCTGTGTCAGCTCCCAGCACTCTCTCTCCCAGTTTCCTCTGCCTCAGGCCGGCTTGTTGGCCCGGAACAGACTATCAATGTTCCCAGCTGGGTGCAATAGCCTATGCGTCCCCCTCCTATCTAGTGATCTCTTCTGAAGTGAGTCATACTTCCTCTGCCACAAGGCCAACTCAAGTTCAGTCCCATCCATGAAGCTTTCCCTGAACATGCCAGCCCACGGGAAGCTTCTCTTCCCCAAATCCTGGTGTCCCCTGTTGCCTTCACTGGTCATTTGATATTTAGCATGGGAAACACGGGCAAATTATCAATTGTGAATATATTGCCTCTTCTCCTACCCCAGGGAATCTGTCATTGTCATTTGCCTTCCCTCTACTTCTATCCCAAGAGGCAGCCTCAAATCAGGGGTGCTGGCTGATCCTGTCACCCTCTGGGACATATTTGGCAACTTGGAGTAATGACTGGGAAGGAGAACTGGAAAAGGCCAGAGGTTATTAGGATTTGTATTGGAAAGGGCAAAGGATACACCTGGGAAGGAAGAAAGAATAGAGGTGAGAGAGGAGAAACGGGGGCAGGGAGGGGGTTCGGCTGCCCGATTCTCGCAGGGGCATCTAAGGTCACAGTTAGGTTTATTCTAGGAATTCACTGTGCTGTTTCATCCCTTATTCCATCTCCGCTTACCTCGCCCTCCATCCCAATCATACTTTCATCCCACACTGGCTGAGTGCCCAGGGGTGCCAAGGTCATGGGGGATCGGAGCGGTCCTGCCACAGCTTAGCCTGGGGCATCAGGCCTAGAACTGGCTGGCTCTGCATTCACCTTCCAGAAAGCACCGTCCTCACTGTATTGATTTCACTGTGTGCTGGGCTCGTTCCTGTTCCAAATGGATTGCACTTCCTTTCAGATCATGTTCCCCACCCCCAGCCCCACGGGCGATGATGCAGCAGCTGCTGTGTCACGACATTTTTCACGGATGGACACAGACCCTGGAGGAATGCGACCAGGCTGAGCCTCACTGGCTGCCCAGAGGAGCAAGTAACCTGTTGCGGCCCCTCTGTCCTCTCAGGACTACTGTCTCTTTCATAGTCAGCAAGGGGCTGGGGGCCTAGGGGTCCACCCCTCTGGCAGCTGGGAAATGCCAGCCCAGTTCCCTGGGGAAAGCACTGACCACACAGCTGGGCCCCCATGGGACATCTTAGCTCCTGTCCCTCCTGATCTAAGTGTGGGCAGGCACAGCTTTTCATTTATATCCCAGGCGCCGAGTACTCATGGGCATCCAGAGCAGTAGGGCAAGACTGGTGAGCTGAGTAGATTGGACAAAAACATCATCCAGATCTTTGCATCAGTTTCCCCAACTGCCCCCAGTTAGGACACCTTTTCCACCCTGATGATGTGACATGCTCAGGATCAGAATCCCATGGGTCCCTCCAAGGGATGCAGTTCCTTCTCTCCATCTGTGTCTTGGCAAGTCGGGGCTTGGCTCCTGCCTGCCTTGCCTCCCGCCACTTTTACTAATTCTAGGAATGTGGATTCCCTGCTGTAGACTGTAACCTTCTGGAGGGTGGGCACTGGGTCTTGTCATCCATATATACCTCACAACACCCACTTAACACAGTGCAGTTAGTACAGGGTGTACACAGTAGGTGCCCCATAGTTGCTTGGCGGATGGCATCACAGGAGCGTGAGATGGACCGATAGCCACGTGTAGGTGTGAGCTGGACAGGCCTGCAGTGAGATGCGCAGTGGCTAGATAGCCCCTGCTCTCATGGGCAGGAGGCTCTACCGACACCAAGCGCTCTGTGAAGGATGGAGAGAGGTTTCCAGAAGCCATACCCATCACTCCAGCGCCCTCTCCATTCGGCCTCGCCCCAGCCCCAGGGGTTCCACAGGGAGATAATTTCTTCCCAGCCCCTTCGGTATTGAATCTGTAAAGAAAACAGAAAAGGAAACTCAGTGCTCTACAGCAAAAGTCAGCAGAAAGGGGGATGAATGCAGCTGCTTTTTACCTCCAAGGACCAATTTAACTTCTGACCTCATTTGGCTGCAGCCAGAAAAAAAATTGAAAGGGAAAAAAAAATCAATGTCTCTCTACTGCCTGCATGGCGTTGGAATGAGATAGACAAGGAAATGGCCCCTCATTCCGCTCAGCCCCTTGCAAGGGCAGATGCAACTTCATCATTCCCTAAGACTGAATCCCAGAACCTGAGTGAGTTGAGATTTAATAGCAGATAAACAGCAGGGGATGTTGCTTCGGGCTGCAGAGAATTTTATGGTTCCCCAGCCTCCTCCAAGCCCTGTCATGGATGGCATCTGTTCCACAGACGCAGCCTGATTCTCTGCCGGCAGCCCAGTGGGAGCTATGGTGCAGTCTCAACAGCACTGTCGTGAGTGAGGAGGGTAGAGGAGGCAGATTTGAGCAAGACTGAGATGGCCTGTGAACCAAGATAGCCAAGGCTAGCCCTCCTCGTCCTGCATCCCGGAGCTGATGAGACACCTTGGTCTGAGAGAATATGGCCAACAATATCCTGAACTTCCCTCCCTCCCTCTCTTTCCTTTCCTTCCTCCCTCCCTCCCTTTCCTTTCCTTCCTCCCTCCCTTCCCTTCCTCCCTTCCTTCCTCCCTTCCTTCTTTCCCTTTCTCCCTCCCTCCATCCTTCAGTCCCTTCCTACCCTCCTTTCCCTTACTCCCTCTCGTCTTCCCTTCTTTCTTTCCTTCCTTTTCCTCCCTCCCTCCCTTTCTTCCCTCCTTCCTTCTGTTTCTTTCCTTTCTTCCCCCCTTGCCCCTATCCTTTTCCCTTCCCTGCTCCTATTCTTCCTTCCCTCCCTCCCTCCTTCCTTCCTTCCCTCCCTCCCTCCCTCCTCCCTCCCTTCCTCTCTGCCTCCCTTCATCCCTCCCTCCCTTTCTTCCTCTGTCTCTTCCTTCCTCCCTCTTCCCCTTCCTTTTTTCCTCCCTCCCTCGTTTTTCTCCTCCTTCCATCCCTCCCTTCCTTCTTTACCCCCTGCCTTCCCTCTTCTCTCCCTCCCTCCTTTCCTCCTTCCTTTCTTTTCTTCCTGCCCCCTGTCTGGGGTAACTCATAGTCGTGCACTTCAGATAAGGAGGTCTACCCCTTTGCTCCCTCACACCGCTTAAGCCAGAGGGCAGGACTGTGGGAAAGTGACAACAACACAGCAGCCAACCCTTGAATCTGCATCCCCGGGAGCCGGCAGCCCTCAGCATGGCGAGAGGAATTAAAATATGACTGAGCTGTAGCTGTGATATCAATCTGTGCTAATGTTGTCTGAGGAGACAGAGGCCCAGAGGGGTGAGGAAAGGGGCGAACTTGCTCCATGATTCTTGGTCAGAGGAGAAGGACAAGTCTGAATAGAATAGACTATCGCTGTGTGGAAGACAAGCCGCAGGTGGACGCAGGGCTCAGAGCTAGGTGCGGGCTGATGTGCGCTAAGGAAACGGCACTAGAGAAGCTGAGCAACTTTCTCAATACCGCTGAGACAGCGGCGGAGGCAGAATTCCAATCCAGCCACGGTGAGTATCTAAAGTCCGGGCTCCTAGTTTTGGAATTAGGCATGAGTAAAGGTTCGTTCTTGGATGTGGCTGTGACCTTGGCCTCGACTGTGACCCTTGAGCCACCTGGTCAATTCCCATGCTCAGCAGTGGGGCATTGCTGTGCAGGAGCCGCACAGTCACACATGGGCCCAGGAGCCTGGCTCGGATAAGGCTCTTTTCTGTTGCTTCCCTTGCCTGCCCCGCTCCCTGGCCAGTACCTCAGCAGAAGGGGCTCTGACTTGCAATGCCTCCAAGAGGCACGAACCCAGGTTTTCCACCCCTGTCTGCCCTACCCTAAGGCACCCCAGGCCTTGCACGCCATTTATTATTGTTGTGATTTTTTTTGAGATGGAGTCTTGCTGGGTCGCCCAGGCTGGAGTGCAGTGGCACGATCTCGGCTCACTGCAAGCTCCGCCTCCCGGGTTCATGCCGTCCTCCTGCCTCAGCCTCCCGAGTAGCTGGGACCACAGGCAGGTACCCGCCTAATGCCCGGCTAATCTTTTGTATTTTTAGTAGAGACGGGGTTTCACCGTGTTAGCCAGGATGGATACGCAGTTTATTGTTAACTGCCAGCACCTGACAGAGCCCATGGAGCAGGGACACAAGCAATGGTCACTTGGTGTCCCAAACAGCTTAATGAGCCACCGTCAGTGCCTCACAGATACTCAGGGGCTCCAGTGGGCATGGTGGGGAGAAAAGCAGCCTGCGATTCAAAGGGGCTGAAAGCAGGGCTAAACGAGGCATGCAGATAAACACTCACCCCTATGCCCAGGGGAATCGCCGACTGAGCTAGGTGCATAATAAAAAATGCCGATTTCATTTATCTTCCTGTCTGTGTCCCGCCTAGAGGGAGGATGAGCAGATTAAAAAGCGCGCCACATTTATGGGCTGGTTTAATCTTAGCACTTGTGGTTCAGAGTTAGAACTGCCTCTCTCTGGAGGAGGAATCTTTAACCAAGTCAAGTTCGTGAGCCCTTGTGTCCCTCCTTTATGACAGTGACCTATTGGCGCTCGCATGGGCCTTGGTCTGGGGGAGCAGGGGTCACACGCGAGGCCAAGGCCATGGCTACACCTGAGAATGGGCCAGCCACATGCTTCTTCACTCCCTGGCCTCTGACTCTGCCTCTGACCCTGCTCAGTGCTCAGAAAAGGTGCTACTGGGCAGGAGGTGGCCCGAGTTATCTACCCTGCAGTAGTACTTCCTCAAATGAATTATCCCGAATGCCAGTTCCACTGGCCATTAACAGTTATTCCTAGCAAAAATGGTTTTGTGGCTAATGGTACAATAAAAACCAGCAGTGCTTGCACTGTTCATACAGGCCGCTTGGAGTCCTTAAAATGTGAATGTACACTCTGAATCTCCAAGGAGGGGATATAGTGAGTTGCTTTTCCAAATGTATTTGGAAACCCATTTTCATAGAGGCTAGTGCTTCTTAGAACACATTCTGGGAAGTGTCAGCTACATGGAATGGTGGAGCAGGGATGGATTACACGGGACATGCGGTCTTGATCACCTGTCTTCCCAGGGGAGGTGCTCTGTTTAGACCACTCGGTATATTATTGAAACAACTCCAAGTGTACACTATGGGGGCACAAATGTTCGAGCTGTGGGTGTCATGATCAGGAGCCCAAACGGCAGCTGAGCCCACACTTGGACTCCCGAGCTCCCCTTTGTCACCCTAGGTGTTCACATAGCTGCTCTGCAACCCAGCAGTCACTGCCATCTCCACAGCCAGCCTCTGCGGGGACTCATGCTCCAAGGTCATCTGGACCTCTGGGTACACGAATCCCTTCTCCCCTGTGTTCAGAGGAGAAACAAAGGCTATCTCAATGTATAAAAAGGATCTTGTCCAAGAATGGCAAATACATTGCAAAGGCACCTGACTTCCTCATCTCATGCCCCAAACAGGTATTACTAATTGATAACAGCTCTCTTTCCATGAATCTGGAAGTGCTGAGGTCAATTTTGGACAATTACCTATCGTCCAAAAAGCATTCATTAGAGATTGGAGATACTGTCTTGGTTTTGTGATTGGGACACCGATCAAACCATGAAACAATGGAACAACTGGCCTCAGGTCCATGGACAAGAGAGACAGATGGGTAGAGAGAGGAAGGACATGTGGGAAAGGAGGAGAGGCCAGGCAAGTATGAGAAAGCCACACATAGAGCCTGATGCTCTGCAGTCCTTGGTCCATAAAGTCCTGGGAGAAATTATGTGCCCTAGAGTTTGGAACTTGGTCTCTCAGGGCTTAGAAGACATTATTAGACCTCAAGTGTTGTGGGAAATACAGAGATCAGGGAACACTTGCAGGAAACCATCCCATAGCCAGGAAGTGCTGTCACCGCAAGTGTGGTGACAAATGTAGACGGACACTAAAGAGACAGAGTGTCCAGGCCAGCTGTCTCTCAGATGCTATCTATCTAACCTCGTGAAAGACATCTCTCCTATCAGGTCTCAGCTTCTTCCTTTATGAACGGAGAAGGTTGTGCTTCAGTAGTATTTTCCAGGCCAGTGATCACATACATTTTTGTCCAGCCAAAGTCAGTTCTTCCACTGAGGAGCACGATTGTCCTACAGTGCCAGCCTCCTCCTCTTCCATGAGAATAAAGTTTTATCTGGGCATATGGGGCCCAGCTAGACAGTGTATGTCCCAGCCTCCCTTGGCCTTGGTGTGGTCATATAATTAAGCTTAGACTAATGGGATGTGAGAGAAATGATGCATGCCTCTTCCAATTCATGCCTTCTATATGGACGTATGAGTGTCTCCTGGCCTCTTTCTCTCCCCTGGCTGGGAGATGAGGGATCAGAGCAGCTGTCTTGGGCACATGGATGGAAGCTCCATGTCGAGGATGGCAGAGCCACCTACTAGTCCTGGCATCACCTGCTTACCTGAGAGAGAAATGAACCTTGTCTTAAGACCCTATATTTTGGAGTGTCTTTGTTACAACAATTTAGCTTGCATGTAACAAATAAAACCCCTTTCAGGGCAAAACTTCCTCCCTGGAGTCAACTGGGTAGTTCATTCTACCTCCTTTGGGGCTAATCTCCCAGTCTAGATAGACAGTCAGAGCTGTCTGAGATCAGCAACAGGACAGCAACATCTCTGGTGGGTTCTCAGAAAGGAGGACACTGGGAGTCAGAACTTCTGGTTGAACAGAAGGAGCTGAGGCTGTCCATGGTGCATGTCACCACAGAGGCAAGGGCGATATATCCTCATTTCATCTTTCTTGGGCTTTCATGTGATTCTGGCCCCTATTGAGAGGAACAAGAACACTGGGGCAGAGGCCAGGGGAGAGCTGGACAGGCCAGCAGCCAGCCTTACCTGCTCAGCCCCAGTCACAGTGTAGGCATGGAGACTCACCAGCCCATTCTCCATCGCCTGTGCTGTATCTGTTGGCTTCAAGGCAGAAAAGCAGATCAAACATTAGACATCTACAGGTTCTTCAAAGAAATAGAAAAACACAGTCCAAACAGCCACTGAGCCATCTGGGCCTCACTGACTCACTTGGGACTGGTATATGGCCTGGAACTCTTTTCTAGAGCAGCAGAGTTGGAAGGCCATTGGGTGTCTGAGGCCCCAGGGATTTCATGCCTCAGGGCACCACCCCCATGAGTGATAGAACCCCGTGGAGTCCCGAGGGCCTGGGTTACTCTCTCCACCAACCACATGTCATCAGTGAGACACGGCACAAATATGTCTGCTGGGACATTCACAGGAGTCAGGAATCACTTGACCCCCACATTGGGAGTAACTGGAGTTTAAACTGCATCTTGGGCTTCTGGTGGCATTTTGGATTAGCAATGTGTGACTCAAAGCCCACATGTTTCAAGATGAAGGAAGCATCCCCATGGATAGAAACCAGATGTCTCAGAACAGACTCAAATAATTTGGAGGGTCACCCAAGCTTTTCAAAATGGGTCATGCTGCCCTTGGGTGCTGCCATTAGAGCCAGTGAGCATCAGAGGGCCCTGGGGGGCTCCGTGTAAACTTAAGGCAAAATACAAAGGAGCTGAAGCTGCGTTCACCAGTGCATGGTAAAGCCCACTGGTTGCTTGGGAGCTGTAGCAGTAGGTCCAGGCTCTGGCGCAGCAGCATTGGAAGACTTGTCGAGCCACTTATGAGCTGTGTGTTGGTGAGCACCTTAGGTAGCCTCTCTGAGCCCGCCTTTTCTTCTGTGAAGTGAATTCTGCAATTTATGTCTTAGAGGCAGGCTACTGCAGGGTTCAATGGGGTGACCCGGGTAAAGCACGCTATCAGTGTTCGTTAATGGTGGCAGCTTGCCACATCCTCCTTAGCTGAATGGACCCCTGGCTGAGCATTCCTGGCTGAGGAAAGCTTGAACTGGTGCAAAAGGGCTCCCCAGTGACTTACCCCACTTGGAGTGGCACAGGTTATCAGGGAGCCTGCCTTGGTCGCTGTCTTCACTGCCTTCACCAGGTCCACAGGGGAAGAGTGCAGATGGATGTTGGTGATCACGCCTCCTGTGAGGTCCACCAGGGCATCCTCGAGGAAGCCATAGTGCAGATCGGAATAGGATCCGAGCAGCCTGGGAGGGAATGGGGGATGAACCATCGTGGTGCCTTTGGTGAGATGCTCTGGGAGGGGAGCTTGTGCACTGATCCTCTGCCTATTTCCCAGGTAAGGGGCTGCCTGGTCCACTCCTGATCATGGCCACCCACCTCCCCTTTGCCTGGATGGAGATTCTAGCACTGTCTGCAGCTCCAGGGGCTCCTACCATCCTCTGTACCTTCCTGCCCTGGTCCCCCAGGCCTGCACAGTCCCATAAGTGGCAGCACTGACGAGAGGCTGGGAGTGCCTGTGCTGGAGGCACAGGTTGAACCCCACCTTTGCCACGTATTTGGCTGCTTGACCTTGGGCACATTAATGAGCTTCATGGGGCTATGTTCCACATAGTGCCCGGCACGTGACCATCCCTTAATGAGTCCTGGATATTATTATGTTGAGTAACTCCTGCTTCCCATTCAGTTTAACAGCAGTGTGAAGTACTGACTGTGGGCGAGGGACTATGAGAGGCATATGTTTAAAAACCCCATTCCTGCCCTCTAAGAGCTCATAGCCATACCCTGATGCTGGCAGTGGACATTGGGAGCCACTGTTCTTACTCTGCAAACCCTGATCCAGAATTCCCATTCCCAGAGTTACCCACTCGCCCCCAGATCATTAGGGAGATCACTGGCTTAACTGAAGGTAACATAGGTAAGGATGAGTCTTACATAACATACCCCAAAAGCTTAAAACCCTCACCCCCTTCTCCAAAGCATCTCTTCCTGCCACCCCACCTCCACCCCGACCCATGGCATTTCTGTTTCTGGGAGATGGGCAGGGCCAGACCCAAGAGGCCTAATGTTCCCCAGGAGAGAGGGTGGCCTGATCAGTCACAAAGGAACCTCTCATGCAGGGGCCGGACAGTTAGATTTGTTTTGAGAACTTCAGCTCCCATCCATGGGGTGAATTGGAAGCGTTCCATGGAATCTTGAAATTTAGGCAGGGCAAGCTCACAGAGGATATGGAACTGAGGTCAGATCAGGCAGGAGACCCTGGCATCAAAGCCACCCAGCAGGAGCCACACTCACTGCTGCCTCTGTTGCTTGGGCTTCTCGCCAGGGACCTACACGTTCCTGTCCCCGGTGAGCAGGCAGAGGCAGAGCCCTTCACAGGGTAGAAGGCAGTGGAGGAAGTCCTGGCTGCAGCTTTTGTTCTGGTAATGCAAAATCACACATGATCAGGACCTGGGTCTATCCTGCTGCTCCCTCCAACTGGGTCTTCCACACTGGACAAGACCCTTCCCCTCCCTGCCCTTGGCCTTTCATCTGGAAGCTGCAGGGTGGACTGGATCAGTCCTCAACACTCCTTTCTCACTGTTTCCACCTCTGACATTCTCTCTTCCTGGGGATCACACAGAATTCCAGTAGATTCACTTCAGCAAATGCGTATCGTATCAAGCAGTCACTATCAGCAGGACTCTGCCCCGGGCACGAATGCTTAGAAGGAATGGCTTAGAAAGCCTTTTATTAAAGAAAGCTGAGGATTCCCAGAACGAAGGGGCATCTCTACAGGAGCCCCCATGTGACAGATTAATCTTGACTTGTTTTAAAACTGGTTCTAAACCTTATCCTCCTGCTCTCCCTCTCTCTGACCCAGGGTCTAGATTTTTCTCTCTGGAGCATTTGCTCAGTTAACTGTAGAGCCTTCTTTGGTGGTGAGCGTGCCCGGTTGGGGCTGAGCTCTGGACTCCCTTGCTGTCCCATGTGGGTTCTGGCTCCTGTTCCAGTTACCAGGGAGTGGCTGAGGGTGCTGGAAATTCACAAGGACTGGGGTTTGGGAACCCATTCCCCACCAGTGCTACCTCCTGCTCTTTGCAACAGCCCCTTTCTGGTGATACGCTCAGGGCGCCTTTCCTGGCTTCAAACAGGGCTGTGCTAAAGAACAGCACTCCAGAAAAGCCGCGGTGGGGCCTGGCCCCTCTGTCACTTCACTGTCTCACTGCCTGTGGGCCCCACCTGACGTCCTGCACCCACAGCATCCGGCAGTCACCTCGGAGTCACCCAAGACAACCAAAGGCACTCCCTGCCACTCACGGCTAGAGCCCTTTGGTGTCTTCTGAAGTCTTCTCTTACTACGTATCCACAACGCCCATGAAACCTGTCCCAGCAGCAGCTGGGTGTTTTGACAAGGAGCTATCTTTCTGCTTTCTAAACATGAGCTCACGGATCCTGCTGATGTTCAGGAACATGGCAACTATTCTTAGCCCCCTTTGCTGACAGGAAGTAGAAAGGAGAGAGAGAGAGAACTGTGTTCACCGCAGCCACCACTATTCCTCGTCACCTGACCCAGGAATTCTGAGACAGCCTTGTCCCCATCCCTCTGCTTCAGCCTCATTTGGGGAAAATGTCTTTCTGCCCGGCAATCATATGAAAGAGGAAAGAATTCAGATAGAGCCAGAGAAGATGCTGAAATGCTGTAGAGATCCCATAAAGGATGGGAAGCAGCCTACCAGCTCTCGTCCCTCAATCTCCTCTCTATTTCATGACCTCTGGGGAAAACAAAACCCTAAATATGGTTTTCATTTGACTTGACCAATTAATTTCCAGACTCCCCAGCTGCAAGGAGAATAGAAAGTTTAGAGTCCATGTGTTCACTGGGCTGTTGCCTGCACCCTTGGAGGGAAGAGGTCCCTCTCCATCTGGACAGATGGGCTCTCTACATTTGGGCTGTGGTCCTCATGTGCCAGACGCTGAGCTCCACAAGCAGCAAAAGACAAGTCATTTTCCTGTAGGACTGACAGCGTCAGGGATGGTGGGAAGGCATGGGAAATAGCGACTAGGGAAAATCGTGCTCACCCCATCCTCATCTGCATGTGATCTTGGGCCAGCCATTTCACCTCGCTGAGCCTCAGTTTCCTCATCTTTCAAAGAAGGTGGGGTTTGAGGCTCACAGACGTCCTCTCTGGCTCTGAAACCCCATAATTCTATGTGATTCACCCCTGCATTTCAGAGCTTCCTTTTTTGGATAGTGAGGGGTGGGGGACCTTTTAAACAGCTTTAATAGTTTGAGACATTGTATCCTCTGCAGATTTCTTTAAGCAGTAGAATGCGGATGCCAGGTCCACGTTCCTATTTCTTTTCAAGCTGAATGATTGCTTGAGGTCATCTGTTAACAAAATGGGGTCAAAGTCATCATGTCCTTCTGCAAGATTTCTACTTCTCCCAGGGAACCACTGGTCTCCCCGTTTTTACATAAGGATAAAACGAGGCCCTGAAGAGATGAGGGCTGAATCCGTATTGAAAAGATAATGGCAGTGTTTTCGTAAGAAGCTTATAAGTGAATTCACCTCCCAAACATGTGGATTGGTTCAACAACCTTGGCTGTTATCTGGGCTTCATTCTCAAATGCTAATGAGCAGCTGTTTCTGACACTAGAAATGAATAAAAAATTTAGTTTTTCACAAGTTTGCCTCAAAAAGAAAGAATGCACAAAAAGAGGTCTTGAGGCACCTCACTGTTTGGACTGTGACTTCCAGAAGGACAGGGGTGGACTGTGGTGCTATCACCACCTCTAGGGCCCAGGACTGCACTCGGCAAGGCTGCAGAATGGACGGGAAAGATAAAGATGTCCCCTGGCCAGGTGAGTAAAGACCTGGCAGGCCCAGCTTAACTACGTGCACCTGCCATCTCATCACAAATGGAGACTCATCTCTGAAGAAGAGATGATCTTCAGAATTTTCTGGACCTATGATGCTCTCCACTCATTTTCTCCTCAAGGGCATGGTCCTCTCTGCTTTTATCTGCTAGCAATGATCCCCAGCTCTGGCACTTCCCTTGCCCCTTCACGGTGCCTGCCTCACACACAGCCCCTTCTGAGGGCAAGTGTCCCCTCCCCAGATCCTGTCCCTTTGTAGCCACTTGACCCAGGTCATGGCTGATTGGGCCGATGGGGTCCTGACCCAGGCTTGACCAATAAGACTCCAACTCTCTGGATTGGAATCAGGTACTGGGCAGGGAATCGGGTGGAAAGCAGCAGAAGGTAAAGACAGAGGCACAAGGCCAGTTGGCCTGATGAGGAGTTCAGAGGAAGTGGGGGTCCTGAGAAATGTGGAGCGAGGAGGCAGCAGAGGAAGATGCATAGCAAAGACAGGTGACTGGGTGGGAGGAGGAGGAGCGGGCCAGCTACAGAGAGGAGCAGAGCAGAGCAGAAGCCACAGCAGCTGCAGCCAAACCAACGCCAGAGCCTTGCTCCAGCCCCTGGGGACCAGCCCCATGAGAGTCCCTGCCCCTGGGCCTCTGCATACCTTCCTGTCCTATTTCCAGGTGTGCCGCCTTCCCCCTTCATAATATCGTCACTGCAAGGTCTTGCTCTTTTTTTAAATTTGTTTCATTTCATTTCATGAACTTTCTTTTTTCCTTCCTTCCTTCCTTCCTTCCTTCCTTTTATCCACATTCTTTTTCTCCTCCACCCCAAGACAAGCATTTCAGGATGTGGAATGTGCACCTTTTGTTTGTATGCGTTCTTGTGAAATGAGAATTGCTGGGCACAGAGTTTCCATTTCCATAAATAACTGTGCATGGGATTGCTCAGTGCCTCTTACCTCATTTGCAAAAGCTAGAAAGCTGGAGAATGCCAAGTGTTTGCCAGGATGTGGGGATCCAGGAACCCCCAAATAGCACAGGAGGGAGTGTGCACACAGGCAGCCTCTGAAGGACAACCTGACAATACTTATCTTGGCTACACGCACGTCTCACACCCACTAAGGACACTTCTAGGGGGCCTCAAGGACCCTGTCTCTAAGGACTGTCCCAGTCACAGTGCACAGATGGGATCTGTGGCTTCTGACTGCTGCGTGGCTCTCCATGAAGTGTACCCACCCATTGTACCCACTGACCTCAGTGATGGACACTCCATACCACCCTTGTGGCAGTCAAGAACATCCTCAGATGTGTCCCCTTAGGGGCCCCCAGGAATGTCCCTATTGGGTGTGAGAAGTGTGTGTAGCCAAGCTAAGTATTGTCGGGTTGTCCTTCAGAAGGCTGCCTGGGTGCACACTCCCTCCCGTGCTGTTGGAGGGTCCTGGATCCCCACATGCTGGCGAGCACTTGGCATTCTCCAGCTTTTGCAGTCTCATAGGAGGAGACGGATGTGTCATTACTCTTCGTGTTTCCATTGTATTGATTATGGAAAGTTTGAGTGTATCTTCATCACCTGTGTGGGTGTTTAGGACAGTGCCCTCTTCCTCACACACACACGTGCAACCCCCCATCCACAGTCCTGCACACAACCACTTGAGTCAGTCTGAGAGCATCTGTCCCAGTGCCAAGCACAGTGCCTGGCATATGGTTAAATGCTCAATAAACATCTGCTGAATAAAAGCAACCCAAAGAATCTAAGTACGACATGTGAATTGGGATGTTTATAAGTTCTTAAGCTTGTCAGCACCTAAAGGCAGTTCCTAAGTTATGGTATTTTGACCATATGAGAATAAGCATGTCCTGCCCCACCCCCACACATAAATGCCACCTCGTAGCAGCCACACCGGGTGCCCAACTGCCTGGACCACCCCTGATGATGTCTTTATTTGAATCACTCCCATTTTTGGAGATGCCTCCTCCCACCTATCCCCTCTCCCCTTGCTGAAATCCTGCCCATCCTTTGAGGCCTCACTCAAATGCCACCACCTCCACACAGCCTCAGCCTGACTTTCTGTGAGTCAGAGTCAGAATTGTTCACTCCTCCGCGCTCTCATCGGACTTTGACCGTGATATTATTAAATATATTTCTTTGGGCCCTGATACCAGCCTTGCAATAATATCATTGTCAGTGCATATCTCTGTCCAGCCCCTACCCTGCCCACTCTTCACTATGTGCCTGTGGGACTCTCCTGATGGCCCCAACATGGACCTTTGCACGTGGTGATTGTTTATGGAGATGCCCAGCCAGGTGGCAAAGGCTGCAATGCTCCAACAGGGACTGTTTGCATTCCGGGTAGGCAGGACCAGCACTGAAACTCTGGGCTGATGGGTGGCGGGGTTGTACTTACTTGGCATAGGCCTTCTCCAGCAGGCAGGGCCAGAACTCTTGGTTTTGGTGGCGAGGACGCACAAAGAGGCATTTATCTCCCTGGACAGGTAGGCGGTCATCAATCACCACTTCCACCCACTGGCCACATTGCCAGAACTGGAAGAGAGCCAAGCATATGCTTTGACAGAGTTGAGGCAGAAGGGAGCTCCTGGGTCCCCCAACCTAAGCCAAAAGTTGCAACATGACCTCTACAATGCAATAATGAACTCTATTCCGAACAAAATCCCAGCCCAGGTTGCCAGGCAGGAGACAGGCATGTCATCTCAACCGGCAGATGGAGAAAATGAGTCACAGACCAACTTAGTCCAGGAAGATATAGTCAGGGAAGAAGCAGACTTGGGTTCTAGCTTCACTTTGCTCCTCAGCGTTGCCTCTCTTTGGCAAGTCCTTTGTGAGCTTCAGTGACACAAGTGAAACTCTCCAGGTACTTCTTGTGCACAAAATGGCAATAGGGAAGCAATGCTACCAACAGAGGAGAGTGGTGGGGGCAGGGCTAGCATGAGAGAGGCAGAGCCTGCAGGAGCTGAGGGCTTGAAGGAAGAGGCAGGATTTAAGCACGTGGCAGGGAGACAGGGAAGGTATCCCAGACAGGAGGCACACTGTGGGCAAAGGCCTGGAGACAGATGACATGGATGGCTCAGGAGGACCGAGCAGTGACAGCCTCCCTCTGGCCCCCCTCTTCTTCCATCAAGCTGGCCCTGCCATTATAGCAGCAGAAAGGATACTGGCTGGCATCGCTACTGCTAAGAGCGCAGATGAACCGGATGTTCCTCTCCAAAACAGACTGTTTGAATCTTTAGCATTCAACTCTATATAGTTCACCGGGGACATGGCCAAATGAGGAAAATTCATAACAAATCCAGCTTTTTGGATTCTCTTTGCTGGCCTCCCCTGTGTACGAGAAGCAGCAGGGCTTCCAGCTTCAGCCCTGAGCTTTGGCAAAGGCAAATTTCCACTGGGTGGACTCCATGGAAAGCTGGGTGGATGGGATCGCTTATCCACGTGGCCTTTTCCACATCTGGATGTCCCAGATGTCAGGCTGTTGCATCCAGCCGAGGATGCAATTTCAGAGCAGAGATGGAGATTGAGACAGATATGTCAGTGGAGACAAAGCAAAGATGTTTTAATAGCTGCTAATGAGCCAGTGCACTGTGGCAGGTTCTGCACAGCTGTGGACTTGTGTTCCTATTGCAGTGAGCAGCAAGATGTGTCGGCAGTGAGGTTGAGAGGCAACAGGGATGGTTTTAGGAGGGTGATTACAAAATGCATCCGAAGCACCGAGGGAAGCTAATCCCAGTCCCCAGAAGGGAGTACCAAAAGGACAACCTGGATTTTGTGCTTAATTGGGTGGCAGCATATAGTAGACAGCAGTCAGCTGGTGGAACTGTAGTTGAATGCTGGTCTTGCCTCTTATTACTTTAGCAACAGATGTTGAACAAGATAACTCTCTGGGACTCAGTTTTCTCATCTGTCAAATGGCAGTAAGAGTAGGAACTGCCTCATAGGTTGTGATTAGGATTAGATGAGATCACAAAAGGTGAGATTATGAAAACAAGATTGTAGTTATGAGAGTAGAGACTCTTTGTCAGTGGCCGTTTGGTTCAGCACCTAGGACAATGCCTGGCACACAGTAGGACATTAAGAATGAGTAAGTCCCGGCTCGAATGAGCTTCTCTGGTTAGTTCATCTTAAAAATAACTCTTCGCCCTATCTTCCCACACCAGTAATGCTGACCAAACTTGCTCTCCCTATACAAAGGGGACATCAGATAAGTTTGCCACTCTCAGAGAGGATGCAAAAGGCCTGATTGGTGGTCAAGAATGAGGCCACCACCTGCATTTCCTGGTTCATGCCTCTGGGTGGGGAGGGCTGGCATTTGGATCATGTCTGTACCTTCCAAGAACAATGCTGGAGGCCATTTTGCCAACACCCAGTTGTCTGACAGGGAAACCAGAGTGTTTTAGGCAAAGCATCTGAGGTGACCTGGGCACTGGGTAACTTTTGGAAAGCAGTACCCAGGCTCCCAGCAATGAGAGGAAATCTACAGAGCTTAGTGCACTGCAGCCGCTTCTGGGGAACTGTGTGACTTTATTCACCACCCAAAAGGGCAAAGCGAGTCCTGCCTGGGCCTTGAGTTGTCCTAACCACCTAAGTAGCTCCACCAATGCTGGCACCCTGGGACAAGCCCAGACACAGCTCAATCCTGGATCCTCTAGCTCACTCCCTGGTGTGGTCCTTGAACCAGCAGCACTAGCATCACCTGCCTGACAGAAGACCTAATATGCAAATAGTTGAATATAAGGAGGCAAGAGCAGGATAAAGGAGGGGCCCAGAAATAACAGAGGGAAACTTAGTTGACTAGAAGGATATAGGTCTTCAGATTGAAAAATATCACTGAATTCCCAGACAAGATTAATTTTTAGCAGGTGTACATATAGATTTCTGAACTCCAAGGAGAGAGAGCATTTCTTTTTTTTTTTTTTTGAGACGGAGTCTCGCCCTGTTGCCAGGCTGGAGTGCAGTAGTGCAGTGGCATGATCTCGGCTCACCGCAACCTCTGACTCCCTGGTTCAAGGATTCTCCTGCTTCTGCCTCCCAAGTAGCTGGGATTACAGGCATGCGCCACCACGCCCAGTTAATTTTTGTATTTTTAGTAGAGATGGGGTTTCACCATGTTGGCCAGGATGGCTTCGATCTCCTGACCTCGTGATCTACCCACCTCAGCCTCCCAAAGTGCTGGGATTACAGGCGTGAGCCACTGCGCCTGGCCAGCACTTCTTATAGACTCTCAGTTGGAAAGAACACATTGCATACAAAGTCAAAGTCCAGAGAATAGATTAACATGAGATTTTTCTTCTGCAGCATTGGAAGCTACAAGACAACGAAACAATGTTTACAGACTTTTCAGGAAAGGAAACGTGATCCAAGAATCCTAAACCTAACTGAAATATCATTTTTAAGTGAGAGCAAAGGAAAAACTCTCACATATTCTGAGGAATTATTCAAGGAAATTCTATCTAATAAAGGTTTAATTAGAACAAAAATTTTAAGGAGAAATGAAGGGTGGGAGAAACAGTGGTAGGCAATGAGTTTTAAATATGCTTTTTATAAGAAACACACCTATAACAAAGTGAGCATGAAATTAATAATAAAGAGATGAACAAAAATAGAACAGGGAAATGTGCATAACAGGAAGCCAAAGTGGCAATAGGAATATCAGGTAAAGAGGAACCCAAGGCCAGAGCATTAAATGCAACAAATAGGGATATTGTACAAATTTTGTTGCAATAAGAAAATAGCAAGATCGTAAACCTCTGGGCACCAAAGAACATAGCAGGAAAAGTGTAAAGCCAGAGCACCTGAAAGCATAAGAAGAATTCTCCAAACAATAACTATGGGAGGAACTTCTCCTCTTTATGATCTAATGAATCAAGCAGACAAAAAATAAGTAAAGATGAAAGACATAATGACAGATAACACAATTGCAAATCATAGAGCTTAATTCAGTATGTAAAACTTACAACCACTGGATAATATAGATTGTTCTTGTGTGTCCATGAGCCATTTATAAAAACTGCTGTGGGCTTGGCTAGAAATAAAACTACTTTATTAATCTCCCCAAATGCAGAGAGTTATGAATTATATTCTCCAATTATAATAAAACAGAGACTCAGCAACTAAAAGATTATCCCTTGCAAAACTTAATCACTTGAAAATCAGATAAACTTTAAAGAAACAACCCCTATATGAAAAAAGATACAAAAACTAAAAATGTATTATCTTAAAAATTAATAAAAGTAAGACTTTTTATATCAAAACCTATGGATACACACCTCAGAGGAAAGTAAAAAGACTAAGAATATTAAGTGTGCAGTTTCAGAAAATCACAAAAACAATAAAATTAGGAGAAAGTATAAAGGAATTAATAAAGATAGGATTGAAATAATTAGTTATATAGTAAACAAAACCTCAAAAGAAAAAGAATAGAAAGACTCATGAAAATCAAAAGTTGATTTGTCAAAAAACAAACAAACACAACACCCACACAACAGATCGACTGGATAAAGAAAAGCGGAATTAAGAAAAAAAGGAAAAGTAAAAATACAGCACAGATTGAGAAAGTAGATTTAGTCACAGATTACAAGAGGTTAAATGAATTGTCAGAGATTCATATAAGCAACTCAGTGGCAATATATTTGAAAATACCGAAGAAACAGTTGATTTTTCTAGTCGAGTATAAATTTCAAGAATTAACTTCGGTAGAAATAAAAGACCTGTTGGATAGCTATTGAATACATTGGAAGAATTAAAGAAATCACATTTAAAAGGGAGGCAGGCCCAGGTAATTTCACTACTGTCTATTTTACTTTCAAAGAACAGTTAATCAATGATTAGCTCTCATTATTCTACTTACTTCAAATCAAGGTATGTATAGCTCAATCAGTTTGTTTTAAAAAGCTAGCAGAACTTAAACATGATAAAAATAACATAAACTAGAAATCAATTTTATGCATGATATAGGTACAAAAATTCCAAGACAATTTTTAGCAACTTGAATGTACTGAAAGAAGAGTAAATCAAGGAAGCACATTACTGAAGTCAAGAGAAGGCAGGATTTGGCTCTTGTCACTCATTCAAAATTCTGAGGTTCTAGCTAATGTGACAAAGCAAGAGAGCAAAAGAAGTTCTGCAAATATTAAAAGGAGATAGAAAATTATCTATTTGCAGATAATATTATTAGATAACTAAACCATTCCAGATTCTGTTAAAGAAAGAATTAAGAACTAATAAAAGAATTTGGTAAGTTGGCTAGATGCAGTTTAATATATGGTAAGTAGTAGCTTTTCTCTTTTTTAGCAGCACCAAGTTCAAAATGAGGGGAAAAAGACCTCATTTACATGAGCCACAAAATCATAAAATGTTTGAGAATGAATTAATCAAGAAAGATACACCACCAATATAAATATAACACTTTATTGAAGGACAGAAAACTAGTTCTGAATAAATGGAAAGGTATCCCGTGTTTCTGGAAAGGAAAACTTAAAACAATAAAAATGTAATTTTTCTAAATTAATACATAAATGCTGCTGCATTGTGTATCACAGTGGCTTTTTTTAAAAAAAATAGACAAAATAATTTTAAAATTCTCATGGAAGAATAAATGTGCAAGAATTACCAAGATATTTTTGAGAAAATGGTAATGAATAATGAAGGAGAACTTATCCTACCAGATGTTACCACTTCCTATAAAGCTACTGTAATCAAAATAGCACGATATGGCACAGGAATAGACAGAGACAAAAACTCGATGTTAGTTACAGGGTTCTCGATCAGTGACTCTTTGCTAATCATTTCTGTCATTTCTTTTTATTTACACAAAAACATTTCAACTCTCATCTTCCCTGTGTGTTGTCAGATTATAAGCTTGAATCCTTTTTTTGAAGGTAGGGAGGGTAACTAACACAACTGTCACTTTCATCTCAGGCTTCCCGGCCACGAGAAAACTTAAGACTTTCACCTTCCCTGTACTCACAGAGAACCCCATCATATAATGAGCGCTGCAAGGGCACACGTACCCGGAAACGGAAAATGCCAGCATACTGGTGTGAAAAGCTTTGGACCATCAGGATCTTCTGCCTGTACTGTGGGTTCTGAGTCAAGGATCCCAGTGCTGCCAGGAACCAGCAGTCAGCTGTGAGGGGAGATAAGCCAGGAAAGGCTGATTGGACACACTTGGAAACCCTCCCCCATAATTTCAAAGGTCCTTACCACCAGAGGCTACACAATTCCTTCTAAATAATGCATTTTTTTTTCCTCTGAGAGAGGAGAACCGGGGGAGGGAGTCACAGGGACTGGCTCCAAGCAAGATAAAGAAGGGGCAGTGGTGGTGGTGGTGTTCATGGAGTCTCGCTCTGTAGCCCAGGCTGGAGTGCAGTGACGCGCTCTGGGCTCACTGCAACCTCCGCCTCCCGGGTTCAAGAGATTCTCCTGCCACAGCCTCCACAGCTGCACCAAGCCCGGCTAATTTTTTTTATTTTTAGTGGAGACAGGGTTTCACCATGTTGGCCAGGCTGGTCTCAAACTCCTGACCTCAAGTGATCCACCCACCTCAGCCTCTCAAAGTGCTGAGATTACAGGTATGAGCCAGCACGTCCAGCCTCTGATTCTCTTTTTGCCAGAGGTGCTCAGTTACAGCAAATTTTGGCAATGATGCTGTGTACAATTGAGGAAAACTGATTCGCGTTTTTCTTTGCTG
Source organism: Homo sapiens (assembly GCF_000001405.40). NCBI lineage: Eukaryota > Metazoa > Chordata > Mammalia > Primates > Hominidae > Homo > Homo sapiens. Next base: position 30,776,610 of record NC_000002.12, read on the forward strand.
TTAGCTCAGCCCGTCCCTGTGCAGAAGTAGGGGGACGTTCTCTCCTTTTCCTCCTTGAGGGATGCATGGCCTCGAGTTTCTCCTTGGATGTCGTTGTAAGCCCTTTTGAGCCTCTCCTCCCCTCCCTGAGTCCTTTCTCCTTCACCCCTAACATGATCAATTTGTCTTTGAATGCCATTTCACACCAGACACTGGGTTCAGTACAGAAGCCACAAAGATGGCCTCAGAGAGGTCCTTTCTCCAGTTAGGTGAAACTCCAACAGGGGAACCCTTGGCTGGTGGCCAGGCAGGCTCTATTGACTTGGTCCAAGGCACGGTGATTTCACCAGGCGAAGTTCAAGTACAGGACCTATCATCGGCAAGCTGACGTTTTGAAAGCTTAGAGTGTATTCTCAGAAGGGTTGTTGTTTTTGCTGTCTCCCAACTCCTATCCACTTTCCAGCCAGCTCTGCCCTTTCACTCCAAGGCTTCTCTTTCTGAGGTTTCTCTTGGCCACACCTGGAACAGCCCAGGTACCTCCTCTTAGGCAGCCCCTCCTGTTTCCCTGTCCATGCCCTCCAGCTCTCAGCAGCTCCTTTGCTCTGGGAATGTCTGGTGGGGTGGGAAGCAGTCAGAGAGTGCTGGATTCTTAACTCTGTTGCTAACTGAGTGTGTGACATTAAGCAAATTATTTTACCTCTTGCACTCTCCATTGTCACATATATAAAATGGGGTTGTTGCACACACAAGGTATCTTGCACGGTCATTGCAGAAACTCAGTGTATGTTTGCTTTCATTTTTCCTGTCTCCTTTTCCCCTGCTCATTGCAGGCTGCAGGACTGGGCGTGAGCAGTTTGTCCACGGCAGCACCAAGGGAACTGGCCTTTCTCCCTCAGAAGTGGGGCAGGACTCTGTGGGTAAGCACCACCCTCCACCACTTCCTATCCAGGGCACGGAGGGAAGATGTTGCACTCTTACCTGCGCCTCCTTGTTGGATGTCAAATCTGCTTATATCATCCAGGATGAAGTGAGGAGGACCCCCTGGTAGATCCTTTAGGAAAGAGGGAGAAAAGCTATGAACATCGTTTATTCCTTTGTATCCCAAAGCGACATCATTCACTTTGTCTTTCAAGGGTCGAGGTTAATTCTTAAATAGGTGCTTAAAATCCGAGTTAGGAAAGTTCACCACGTTCTTCAGCCTTTATTGCTACCAGGAAGGCAGCAGGTGTCACGGAGTGTAAATGTAACTGACAAGACAGGCCATAAATGCATTAGCATACTACATGGAGAGATAACATAAATAAGGACTTGGAGTCCTTGGATCAAATAGCCATTCCATCTCGACAAGGCAGTGTTTTATTAAGAGGTTGTAAATAAACCATCAAAAATGAATAGAATACATTTATTAGAGGAGAGGTTTATAAACATAATAAAGTACTATAACTTTCATAATAAAGCTTTTGTTGTGAAATGGTATATCTCAGAAATTAGCATAGGTATTTTGGACTACAGGTTTAAGTCTAGCCGTGTGCTGTAAGGGATACAAGGTACACATGACTCAGCTCTTTGCCCACTCCCTGGGTAACTCACAGACCGGGTCTGGAAGGCCGCAGTCCCCTTGTGTGAGGAGCTGGTACTCAGTGCCCGGTCCTTCCTTAACTTCTAACACACATAGTGCCTGCCAGCCAGAGACAGTGGTTATGGAGGATTCCACCAGTGCTGCCACATCTGGGAAGAATATGAAGAACTGTCAGCAGGCACCAAAATTGTGAGAGTTCCTAAAGGGGATCCCCAGGCACTTTGGGAGAACACCAGGCCACAGGTCTGGCTTCTGCCCCAGCACCAGCCAGCCCTCTAGACTTGGCCAGGATGACCTCGGCCTCCTCTCTGTGCAGCTCTTCCTGGATTTGCATAATTTGGTAATTGGTCCTTATATCATTTCTTTTCACATTGACCAATAAGTCTGCAGAGAGCAGGCCCGCAAACTGGAATTGGATTCATTTGCTCAGTAGCCATTCATGTACAGAGTCATGTGCCTTGTAGAACCTGCCAGCTCTTCATAAACTGCCCAGGTTTCCTGGAAGAGATGCACACTAAGGGGAAAACGAAGGTGTGCCCGCCTGCAAACACAGGGTCCTGGCTGCGGGGATGATTTTACCAAACTCCTCCCGCTGCTTTCTCTACAACTAACTGACCCCGTCACATGCCGGGAGGGGAACTCTCAGGCCCAGGCCCTCCCGGGTGAGGGGGACCCTGGGGTGGCACCAGGTCCGACCCTCTGCCAGAGCCATCGTGGGCAGAACTTTGGCATTTCCTCCAATGCAAGAAAGAGGGAAGGACATCCGGAGGGCCTTCGGCTGCATGCAGAGCTCCAAGTAGAGCCAGTTTTAAAATGGTGTAGGGCATTTCAGTAGCCTTTACTTGTCTCCTCTCTCTACTGGAAAAGGGGACTTAGGGTCTCAAAGGAGGCCTGCTGTCAAAGATCCTCCACTCGTGAGAAGTAAAGAAGAGATGGAGGCTGTGGCATTTTCAGACCAGGAACAAAAATGGCTTTGCTCCATTTTCTTGACCTTGGCCACAGCTCTTCTTCACTGTGGTCCTGCTAGCTCCCCTCCAGGGATCCCCAGGGCAGGAGAAGGTGTGCTTGGAAAGCCCATTCAGACAGACCTGTTGTGCAATCCTACTCTAATATTTCTCCCTGGGTGACCTTGAGACCTTGAACAATTCCCGTTACTTTGCTGTGCCTCAGTTTCCTCATGTGTAAAATGGAACAATAATACAAAATGTAAAGACAGTTGAGAGAATCTAATGACGATGCAATCAAGGCAATGGCTGTCATTCATCAAACCCTTGCTGAGGGCGGGTACCTTGGGTTCTCTCTGGTAGGCTCCCAACAGCCTTGTAAAGCTGGACCAGTCCTTACATTTACAAATGAGGAAGGATGTGAAATACTTAGCGCAGTGTCTGACATAGTACATGTTCAACAAATATTGATCCCCCTCTTTTGAAATATTTGCAAAATTAAAAAGGCTATACTCAGACAAACCCATAGCCTCAGATGCATTCATTATTAAACAAGATAGAATAAAAACATGAATTTAGCAGTCAATTCATAGATCTTAGAAAGAAAAAGACAAAAAGAGCCTCAAAAATAGGAGGAAGAACTGAAAAGAACAATTAGTGAATTATATACCAGAAAAACAGCAAGATTAATAAATAAATTGTTCTATTATTTGCCATTGAAAGTAATGGCCAATAATGGTTTTTGCCATTACTTTCAATGGCAAAAACCACAATTACTTTTGCACCAACCTAATATTTGAGGGAGGGTTACATAGACCCAACCTTTGGCAAATATGGTAGAGAAACCCAAATAAAAGTAGAATTAAAAATTGCATTTTAGAAATATAAAATCATGATGTAGAATTCTATGCCAATCAATTAAAAAATCTGATGATTTTTTGACAAAAATTAACTTGGCTAACATTGACTCATGTTAGTAAATAAGCTGAAAAGACTAACAGCCTTGGAATAGTATTTTAAAGTTACCAAAGAGTATCACCCGCATGCGCTGTAAAGGCTTACAGGTACATGCAGTTTTTCCTCTGAGTTCCCTCAAACTTTCAGAGAATAGACAATTCCAGTGTCATTGACAGTTTCAGTGTAAAAATAAAAATTAAAAAAGAATCCTGCCACCATTTAAGAAGCCAGCATAGCCTTGATGCCCAACCTGAGAGAAAACACACAGACATACCAGACTTATTTTGGATAATTTGTTATCATCGTATAGTATTTGCTGTAGAAATGCAGAATGCAAGGATAGTTTCACATCAGACATCTAATAATATGAAGTAGCACTTACATGGGCCAAAGGGAGAAAAATTTGTATCCTTTCAATAAATTCTATGAAGGCATTTGATAAACATACAACAACTTTTCATGATTTACTAGAACAATAAAAGTTAAAAACAAAAATTTTAGCTAATTAGGAACAAAAAGATATTTTAATGTGATGAAAATTCAATGGTGATGATTTCAAACCACAAATCAATAGTCAACTTCAAGTTTATGGGAAAACATAGGAGTCATTTTCATCAAAGGTGGGCACAAAAGCAGCTTCTATGTCTCCTGTCCTCTAAGCTGCTTGTTCCTTCCGGACTCTGGACTTTAGAGCTGTGACCAATAATCGAAAAAGAGAGATGGTAGGAAGGGATGGAAATGATACCCAGGAGCGTTTTAGTCTGCCAGGCTGACTTCCTGAGATGAGGCCCATTAAGGAAACAGGTAAAGATGGCTGGGAAAATGTGAATGTGCTGACTCTGGGAAGGCCACCTGTTACCAGATGGGTCAGGCACATGAGGGCAGTGAAGCCAGTGTGATGAGAACCTGGATTAGATTCAGGCTGAACTGCCAGCAATGGGCAGTCTCCAGCCGACTGTGAATCACCCAGCAGCTTCACAGACAGGGAGACTGCTGTGTCCCACTTCCCACTACTTTGATTTCACAGGTCATTCAGAGATAGCGTTCAAGATTCACATAGCTTCTCAGGGGATTCTGAGACCCAGCCAGGGCCAAGGAGCAGCTTCAGAGAAGTTGACCGATTTGTTCCAGGTCACACAAGAAACAGGCTCTGAATCAGGTGTCTGCCTCCATAGTGTCTTGTTCTTCACTCTGACCACACCAGCAGGCAGCATCTTCTCAACTTTATGTTTTCAGATCCTGTGAGATGGACTTGGCCTTTGAGGGCTCTGAAACATTATTAGTGCAGAAGGAAGTTGGGAGGGTTAATTTTATATACCATCCTAACTGCATCACGGAGCGCCCAGATACTTGGCTAAACATTACTTCTGGGCATGTCCATGAGGGTGCTTCCACATGACTTTAACATTTGAGTTGGGGGATTTAGCAAAGCAGATTCCCTTCCCAGGGTGGGTGGGCACCATCCAGTCTATTCAGGGCCTAAACAGAAAAAAAGATAAACGGAAAATTTGCCCTTTCTCTGCCTGACTCCTTGAGCTGAGACACTGGTCTTTTCCTGTCCTTGGACAGGGAATTACATCATCCATTCTCTGGTTCTCTGGCCTCCCACTCAGATTTAACTACATCACTGGCTTTCCTGGGTCTCCAGATTGCAGGTGGCATATTGTGGGACTTCTCATCCTCTATAAGCATGTGAGCCAATCCCTCCTAGTAAATCTCTCATCATAAATATATCAATAGGATATCTATTAGGATATACATCAATATGTTAATGAGATATATACTAGGATATATTTATATAAGATATATTGATATATTTACTAGCAATAAATATGTCAACAGGGTATATATTAATGATTCTTTTTCTCTGGAGAACCCTGAGTAATACAGAAGCCAACAGCAATAGTCAAGCTAAGTAATCTTAGGAACTTAATTCTGGATTGTGGAGACCTTTCTCCAGGCAAAGCTGGGGGGTAATCTGTGTTATATTAGGTATGTCAGAGCTCTTGTAATGCAAGGGCTCCTGGCATCTTAGAAAATACGCTCTCTGATGTGATCTCAAGCCAGCTGCTCTACCCTAATCGTCTCCAGAGGTAGACGGAGAAATATGCCAAGAAATAATGTCTTCCATGTGACAGCACTCTTCATATTTCTGCATTCTCTCTAAAGACTTCCACATCCTCACACGGCATGCCGCTCTTGGATAAGAGAGCCCTGTGTTTAGCATCTTAGTATTCGGCCTTTTCACATGGTGGCCAGAGTTCAGTCTGGGACAGGTGTCAGCGTCACTCCCTTTTCTATTTTTGCTAGAGGACTTAGATTTATTGGCATCAAAGTTCTCTGGCTGAATGACACTTGGCTGTTTGCAGGGTCACTTTCTGCCATTTTTTGTTACCTATTGCCTTATGGAACATTTTCATAACCTAACCTGCACTTACAACTTTACCTTGTTAACCTCTTCCTTTCCTGAAGAGCACGTTTTGGTCGCAAGGTGAGTCGTTTCTAGTGAATGATCCTTTCAGAAACTGCTCTGGCTGTGTGGAAGGAAGATGTCACTGGGATAGGCAGTGCCTCCCTCTAGGATGGCCACAGGCGGGAAGCCACAACGGGGCTGTGCTGAGCTTCGAACACCTGTTAAGCAACGTGCTTGGGGCACACAGCCCATTTTTCAGTTGAGAAGTAAAACGTCTTTTACTATAAAATGGGTACAAAGATGAAATTTCAGTTTATCTGACAACACTGGTGATTGTTGTGAAGCTCTACTGTCTACCATCGTGTACTGTCCAATATGGTAGCCACAAGCCATATGTGGATACTTACATTTAAATTAATTTAAATTCAATAAAAGTTAAACCTTTAATCCCTCAGTTGCATCAGTCACATTTCAAGTGCTCAATAGCCACACGGGACTAGTGGCTACTGTATTGAACAGTGCGAGAAGAACATTTCCATCATCACAGAATGTTCTATTGGATGGTGCTGATCTATTTAATGAGGATGATAGTATTATCTACCTCACAGGACTGTGAGGGTAGTTAAATGAAATATTGCATGTAAAGTGCTTAGCATAATACTTCACTCGTGTGCATGCTTGATAAACTATCCATGAAATAAAAATTCTCCTAAAAGGGGTCCACTCTAAGTACTAAATTTAGCTCAGGGAAATATCACATAGATACCTCACATGTAAGTATAATCTTTAGCACTGTCCCTTGCTGAGACCAGGGTTGTAGGAAGCATTGAGGCTGATGAGGAGTCGGGTCCTCTCAGTGCCATTTGCACAGGGCACCATCATGGGCTACTGCGGAGCCTGGCTGGGGGAGGGGGAGGGCTTGGGAACAGAATAAAGCAGGATGTGAACGGGGCTTCCTTCTACTTCAGAAAAAGTTTCAGCAGCAAAATGGTTTAGATTATTGGATTAATTGTTAGAGGAAGGAAGGATAAGAGCCAGAGGAAGGAAAGGGTAGGTAAGATGGCAGGGAGGAGAAAGAAGGAAAGATATATGACACAAAACTTTTCTGCACCAGGCATAGAAAGCTAAGCCTGGTTCTCATGCCCCTGACTTCTGGGCTAGTGTTGAACCTGCCAAGCTGGGATGAATACTCAAAACAGAATGATGTCCCTTGTGGTTTACCAGTTGCCTACAGGAGGAGCTTTCTCATTGTCAGGAAAAACTTAGAATGTGGAGATGGCCTAAAACACCTTGGTGCTACCTCAGCCATTATATAGTTGAAGTTTAAGGGCCACTGGTCAGACCTCTGGACAGGCACTCAGCAAGCTATAGCTTGGCAGTCAACTTTCTAAAAATAGTGATAGAAAGCAGAACATGAGGCTGGGTGTGGTGTCTCATGCCTGTAATCCCAGCACTTTGGGAGGCTGAGGTGGGTGGATCACTCGAGGTCAGGAGTTTGAGACCAGCCTGACCAACATGGTAAAACCCCATCTCTACTAAAGTACAAAAATTAGCCAGGCATGGTGGCTCATGCCTGTAATCCCGGCTACTCAGGAGGCTGAGGCAGGAGAATCGCTTGAACCCAGGAGGTGGAGGTTGCAGTGAGCCGAGATTGTGCCACTGCACTCTAGCCTGGGCAACAGAACAAGACTCCATCTCAAAAAAAAGAAAAAAAAAAGCAGAACATGAGAAGAAAGGCATTTTCTACACTCCCTGCCAACCTTCTTTCAGCCCCTGACCCACATTTTTCCCTGAAAGAGTTTTCTTAAACTGGCCAAGGACTGAAGCTGAGATGGCTGGACTGTGAAAACCCAAGAATCCCAGGGAATAGGCCCTGAGGCTGCTACCTTATGACTTTTCCCAAATTAATCACAGTAACAAAAACTAGTGTTTACTTAGTGTTTAGACTGTGCTAGACACTATTCTAAGTATTGTACTCATTTAGTACTTAAAGTAATCATATGTGGTACAGGTGCCATTTTTATCCCTAAAAAGGGAAAAAAGGGCAGAACATAGATCAACTTTAGAGAGGGATTGATTCCTGTTTTACTCACATGAGGTAGAAGATTCTACTAGTGCAAAAAACATTACTAGTGACAGGCAGGAGCCCAGAATAGGACATAAGCTTATGATGAGGCCTTACAAGGGTCATGTAACATGGTGTTAGGAGCTCAGGTCTTGGAACCAGACTCCTGGGTTCAAATTCCAGCTCTAGTATCATCTAACTATATGACTTTGGGCAGAGGTCCCCCTACTCTCTGATTCTGCTTCTCAGCTGCAAAATGAGGCTCACAACAGTACCTTATCATAGAGTTACTGTGAAGATTGATGAGTCAAAGCTCCTAAAGCCAGGCCTGCCATGTGGTCAACACTCTGTGGGTGTGGCCATTACTACTAGGATTGGGCCAGGCTGGTGTGGCTCCTCTTCCAGTGCTCTCTGCAGTCACAGCTGTACACTGTGGGTCAAGGACATCACAGTGTCGAAGGGGTGAGTACATTGGCTTTTTCCTTTACTGTCCTACTTGGAAAATACGTCAACTCAGAGTTTCTTTCTTGCACGTGTGAACTTGAAACATGCATCAGGCACATGTAGATAGGGTCCTTCATTCATCCATTCACTCATGTACTTGTTCATCCAAATTCCAGCAGAGTCCCTGCTAGGCACTTAAGTCAGTGGGGGGAAAGTGCAGCAGGTGGAAAGAATCTTCATTTAAATTCTGGATCCTTCCCTCTCTAATCATGTCACCTTGGCATATCATATTACCTGTCTGAACATCAGTTTTCTATAAAGTTAGGAGAAAACAAAGCAGATAAAGTATGAGAAGACACATGGAAAGCTCTGGAAAGTACTACACAAAGGTAAGTCTTGTCAACTGTGATAAGAAAGACAAAGAAATATGACATCTAAAAAGAAGTGCCAGAATGAAAAATACCCCTGTCCCCAGTCCCCCCAGTAGAGCTCAGGTAAGCTTTTGGATGAGGAGAGTAGTAATGGGAAAAGCAGATTCGGCCCCTGGCTGCCTCTATTTTGGGTTCCTGGCATTATTCTTTATAAGTAATTTCACTTCTGTTGGCCTCAGTTTCTCCTTGCCCCCAAAAGACATCACAAGTTGAGTTGTTGTGAGATTCAGATAATTAGAATCTCTCAATCCTTTCTAAAGAGAAGTGTTATAAATTCTTCAACACTATAAATATGGTCTTACATCTATTGCTCAGCACCTTGTGAGAAAAAAATCCCACCACTTTCTGAAATAATCTCAGCCTCTGAAAATAGCAAAGGGAAAAAAATGACCTTTTGGAACTTCTTTAAATAGAATTCTCTGCTTCAGCTCTCCTTAGGAGGTAAAGGCTAGAAGAAGAGAATCATTGTTGAGGACTTACTGCCAATGGCTGATAAGAGGACCCTAGAATGCTGAAACACCCCACTTTTCTCTAAGCAGCATCCCAAACCCTACCTGATCCCTAACCCTTCCCTTCACCAAAGCTTCAAATCTGCCCCAACGTAGGGCAAGAGGTGTGTCGCCTCCCAGAGCCTGATGTCTTCAGTTCTCCTTCCCATGTGCAGAACTGAATTAGATATCCACAGACCAGACAAATACTTTAGAGGACCTCATAGCCTCTTAGTAGTCACCAATAGAAAATAACTTTACTCTGTAACCTACCTTCACTTTATGGGAAGTGTTTAGACAGTGCTTGGCATTTAATCAGTGCTCAATAATGGTTGCAGATATTATAATGATTAGCTTACTAGACATTCTATTATTTTATCTCATTCTAGGTTATGCTGGTGCCTACAGAAGTGTGAATAGAGGTTTGGGCAAAAGGGTCCTTAGGGTGGTCCTTATCCGGGTGCTTTGCATCAACAGTAGTCCTGATGAGATTATCAGAATGTTGAGTCAGCTGAGATATTTTCCGTGGACTTGTCATGCCCTAAAATTAAGATAGTTCTAGAAAAACCAGAAGGGCTCACCTGGCTGCAAGGTAGAGGTAGTGGCCATCTGCTGGGGTTGTGGAGTCAGGGAGGTCTGAATGTTGTCCTGCAATTTCTCCCTAATTTTAAAGTTAATGTCTAAAATTCTCTTACAGGTGGTCGAGCCTCTCTAAGATCGAGAATGGGAATATAAAGCAGAGAGGAGAGGTGATTATTTAAATTCATCCTATAGTGTAAATGACTGACCTGCTATCTTCCCTTTGAGCAAATTCTAACAGGGAAGGAAAAAAGAATATAAAGATACTGACACCTGAAGAGAAGAAAGGGTGACAGAGTGATAGATGGGGTCAATTATGGGGTGGAGGAGACTCCAAAGAGCAACAACTACAATCTTCATACCCGTGGTTTCCCATTTTTTGGATGAAAAACTGAGGTATTTTAATTTAGTGGTGTACTTAGTGTTAGAACTGGGTTAGAACTCAGGAGTCTGGGCTCCTGGTTCCTGCTATAGCATCTTCCCATCCTGCTGAGTAGCTACAACACTGTAGCAGAGATACCTGGTGAATTTCATTCTCCTTCCAGTTTGGTTTGGCTCCACCTCCTTTTGGCTGGAGGTGCCATGGCAGGCGACTCCGAGGACCCTGGAGCTGGGTATGCTCGTGTGGGGCTCACTCACCTGTGGCCGCTTCCATATCACATTGGAGAGGCGTTTTTCCTGGAGCAGCTTCTGGCCTATGGAAGAATCTGCTGCAGGGAATGTCTCATCCTTAAACGTCCGGCCCATGCTCAGGCAGTGATCCCGCAAGGTGGTAAAGTCCTGGTCTTTGAACTTGATGATGGAGGTCTCCACTGAAGGCTCCTGGTAATACGCCATGACTCTCCTTAGAAGACTTCCGAGGTCCTTTCCTGTTGGTGAGAAAAAGGGATACCTTTGGGGTAAGCCATCAAGTCCTTTGCATCATCAAATGTGAGCCCCAGATGGGCACTCTGATATACCACCCTTTACAGGGACTGAGACTAAGTCTGCACTGTCCCTGGTGGCACAGTCAGTGAGCCTGAACTAGGATTCAAGCATCCTCACTCCCAGTTAACATTTCAAGCTGCTGTACAAAACAGCTTTCCCGTGTGCTTTCACGTGCACAAGAGGCTATGGGGTACTAGTACATCTCATGAACATTTATTGAGCACTGCCAGGTGAAGAACTGGTAGGTAGGTTAAAAAGGTATCCACAGCTTCCCTGAGCAGCAAGTGCGCAGAGGCCCATGAGTTGCATTGGAAAGGTCACGGGGTGTTGGAGGGTTTTGTGGGATGGGGGCAGAGAGGGTGGGTAGGAAGTGTTGGATGACATTGCCAGAAAGGTAGGTTGGAAAGCTGGGTGAGGAAATGTTTTATACCCCATAAACTCTGCAGGGCTGTTAAAGAGGTGGGGCATGATCAGATCTGTACATAGAATGGGGCTGCTAGGAGCAATCTGGGGACCAGAGAGAGGGTGTGGGCAGGGACTGGAAGCAGGAAGGAAGCCAGGAGCTCCTGCACTTGTCCACAGGAGAGACAGTGGTAGAGCATCAGAAGGGAAGATGGTGGAGTGTGGACAGATTTGGTGTAACTTTATAGGTGGAGAATTGAATATGGGGGATAGGGAGGAAAAAAAGAAAACGAAGAAAAGATAGTGCAGTGAATATCACATGGGTTTTGAAGTTTGCTTTCTGCTTTCATCAGCTACATACTGCTTCTGCAATTTGGAGCGAATATTCAAGCCTGTGAACCTATTTCTCCACCTGTATGGATTGAAGCTATGAATCTCATAGGTTTGTTATGATATTAAATAAGTTTTGACCTAACCAACTGAGCAGAGTGACAGGCATGCAGTAGTCCCTCAGTAAATGTTAGCATCCCAATTTTCCTTGAGTTGACAAGGAAGGCTGAGGTTTCTTGTTCAGGCAGCCACAGGAACGTAACTGGTGCCATTTACCAAAAATGTACCACGTCCTCCATCTGTGAGGCTGGCCTGGATGGGAATCCTGAATCCATACTTCCTAGTTATGGGAATTGAAAAACCTCTCTGGTCCTTAAAGTAGGGCTTTTCAAGCTTCTTTGATCAGGGTCAGTGCAGGTGGCACAAAAAATCCCAAGGTCCCTGTGTTGCACCCATTTCCACTTCACAGTGGAAAAGGAAGCAGGTGATAATGAATGAGCAAGGACTATAAAGGAATAAATTCTAAGGAAAGAATATGAACTCATAATCAAAATTTTGAATCCTAGAAAAATACATGTAAACTTAACATAACTTAGCAATTTTCTTACAATTACCTTGTAATAGCATGTGGCAAGTTATTTAGATAGCACAAATTCATAGACAGAATATCACCAGTCATTGTGCAAGCATATTTGGAGAGAATTGTGCATACAACTGTCTGACAAACAAGATATGAATAATTTACATTTACATTTGAACTATTAGATTGGACCATACAGAACTGCCATTTTTGTAGGTCAAAAATGGTTGAATATAGTCAGTTTCATAGGGTTTAACCTAAGGTAAGAAATGGTTAAATACAAACAGCTCTGTTTAGTTTAACCTAATACACATGTACATTTCTTCAATTGAGTTCTTATAGAATAATGGCACAAAATATTCAGTATGTCTCACCACTCAAAATAGGGTTAAAAAGAGGGCCCGCAACAAATTAAATAGTGATAAAGCTGAAATGTCAAGATATCATTCAAGAGTAAGAAAACAGTGATAGAAATTGATTGTCAATTCAAGACAAAAGGCGATGGCACTCGATAATGAAGAGTTGTGAAAATCATGGGTCTACCAATTCTCTGTGCATGCTCGGGGACAGTGGAACCAGTATAGCATTGCCAAGCCTCCTACCTCTCAGGAAAATATTGAATTACAATGTGTGATAAATTCTAGCAATGAGCTAGTTTTGGTTTATGAAAACCAAATTGTAGTTACCCTTAATAATACAATTATGGGATTGCCTGTAAGTAGCCCTTAATTGCATATAAAAATGAAATTCTAAAGAATTTTGCTTCATTTCTCCTTTGGAATCATACAAAGGTCTTATATGCGAGGATCAGTTCCTAGTCCATCTGGGGGGCCCCCACTGTGCACTATTGGATGGAGGACTGGCCAGACTTTAGGAATTCCCATTCTAAGATTCACTTGCCTCATTTGTGAAATGGAGATGATGATACTATTACACATGTTATAGGGTTGTTGTGAGACTCAGATGAAACCATGCTCCCAGAACACGCAGCACAGTGACTGGTAAGTACAAAGCAGCCAATACATGGTGGTTATTAGGATGATGATCATTGTTATTTTGAGCAGGAAAGGACTGTGCAGAGGCCCAACACTGTCTAAGATGAGGACTTGCTCATACCCAGGACAGGCTAGGCTCAGAGGGGCTTGCAGGGTGAGGACCAGGATGGTCAGTCAGACCTGGGCCCTGGGCTCTGTTACTGCTCTGCATTCACTACATGGGCTGCCCAGGCCTGGGGGAAGGGAAGGCTTGGGGACAGGCAGCAGGCTGGGTGTCTGCTGCTGCGGAGGTGGGCTGTTCTGGGAGGAGACTCTTGATGGGGAAGGGAGAAGCAGGCAGGGGAAGCTTGTTCCCGCCTCCACACACATAGTTCTTTCCTCTGAGTTGCTCTTGGCTTCGCCAGGGAACAGCCTGTAGGCTCATGTTCTCAGGAAGGGCCCACAACACCTGACAACATTTCACTTTTGTGCACAGCAGAAGAGGACCACCTGATTTTCCTGCTGTCACTTTTGGGAGGGCTTTCTGCTTCTTTCCTCTCTTCTCTACCCAATCTGTCTCACTTTGCAGGGTAGCCAAAGGCAGAAGAAGACTCAGCTTTGTTAATTTAAGGGAAAAAAAAGATTGCTGAAAGGCCTACCTGATATTCAAGATAAAGTTTATCTTGCTGCTGGGGCAGCTCTTGGGTGTTGCAAGAAAAGTCACACAAGGAGAGCTAGAAACATCACAAAAATAATTGATATAAAGTTCTTCATGTAAGAAGCTTGTGTGAGCTCATCAGTCAAGCTCAGAATTAGGCTGAGAAGCAAGCAGGAGCCGTGGCTTAGGGCTACAAAGCCTCTTTAGCTCCCCTTGGTGTCTACGAAACGAGCTTCCCTGTGTCCTTTGCTGAGTTGGGTGACTGAGTGAGCTTGGGCTGCCATAGCAAAATACCACCAACCGAGGGGCTTAACTGCATTTATGCCTGAGGTTGCAATTTTTTTAGATGTTTGCAGTCAGACCTTGGTGATGACCTTGAGCAGTAGGATATAAATAACTCCCACATGCTTAGCGTTCCAATAATGGAACACTAGGCATAAATGGGTTAACAACAGGATTTATTTCTCACAGTTCTGGAGGCTAGAAGTCAGAGATCAGAGTGCCAGTATGTGGTGGAGGGTGGGGAAGAGATCTTTCCCTCATCCTCTTCTTATAAGACCACAGTTCTATCAGATTAGTCCTCACTTTTATGATCTCTTTTAAGCTTAATTGCCTCTTAAAGACCTTATCTCTAGGTACAATCATGTTGGGGGTTAGGGTTTCATATGAATTTGTTGGGGGAGGGGGACGGTACAATTCAGGCCTTGGCAGTGACTAACCCTAGCCTGATCCAACAACTCTCCTAGCCCTGGCTGCATACTGCAGGAAGTGTGCAGATCAAAGGGGAATTGGGTCATGTCGGTAAGGTTCTCAGAGAATAGACAGTGGATGTCAGTGAACACAAGAACAAATGACAGAGCAGCAACAGTGATAAGTATGTGAACATTATTTGAATTAACGGAAAAATGATGAGGGCTCCTTAATGGGAGATATGTCTTAGATACTGCTGAGCCATACAACTATGTCTTAGCAGTATCTTGATATGCCAGCACCTAGCGCTAGGCCTGGCACATAGTAGGTATTCAATAAAATCTCCTGAGTGTCAGCAGATTAAATATTACATATCAGCTATTCTTGAGTGTGTTCTGTGAAGCAGTTGCTTCATGAAACACTCCACAAATAACAAATTATGAGATGAAATTATTTTGGAAAACATCTGATACTGAACAGTCTTTACAGAAATTCACAAAAAGCTCCAAGAAAGCCTTCGATAAAGAAACTTAAGTTTGCTCCCAGTGTTTCACACATATAACCAGTAAGTCCTTTTATTGGAGAACTTTTATTAACATTTCATGGAAAAGATGCATAAGAGTTAAGTGACTTCAGAACATCCTGACTCAAGTCCTCATTCTGCCTCATACACACTAAACACCTGTTTCTTCATCTGTCAAATGGGAACATGATACTTTGTTGAAAAATTAAATAAGAAAATATATGGAAGGAGATTTAAACCATGAAATATTTTATGAAAAGATGTTCATTATTATTTATTTATCTGACTCTAATCTTGTCCTAACCTGCTTGTATTTCTCTCTCTCAGAAATAAATAGTTGTAAGAATACACAGATAAATCACCTAAATTACATCTGCCCAGAAACATGAAAAGGGCATTTATTGCCCCGGTTTCTCTCTTTTCCCTGAGCTACGTGTTGTTCTTCTACATGCAAATTCACAGGCGGAATTCAATAACAATAGAATATTTAGGTAAACCCCAAATATCTGGAATTAAACACACTTTTAAATAATTTATGAGTCAAAGATAATATCATAAGAGAATTAGGAAGACGTGAATAAGTAGAAGGACATAAATAAGAAAGACAAGAGCAGAAATTAGTAAAACAGAAGACGGATAAGAGCAGAAATTAATCAAACAGAAGACAGACAACAGATAAAATGAGCAAAGCAAAAATCTGCTTCTTTGAAAAGATCAACAACATTGACAAACCCCTAGTCAACTTGATCAAGAGTGAAAGAGAGAAAACATAAATCGCCAATATTATCATTTGATAAAGGGGTTATCACCACACATCCTATAGACATTAAAGGGCTAATAAGAGAATACTATGAACCACCCAATGCCAACAAATCTGCTAAGTTACATACAATGGATCAATTTCTTGAAAAATACAATTTATCAAAGTTGACACAGAAGAAACAGAAAATCTGAATAATGCCACATATAGTAAAGAAATTGAATTTACTATCCAAAGCTTTCTCCAGAAGAAACCCCTAGGCTCAGATAGTTTCACTAGTGAATTCTATTACACCTTCAAGGACAGAGTAACACTAATCTTACGTGAACTTCCTCAAAAAATAGAGGAGAAGGGAAATACGGCTGAACTTATTTTTATCAGCTCAGCAAAATACTAAAAACGAAACCTCATAAAGAAATCTTCTTCCTGAAAAAAAATTACAGAGCAATATTCTCACGAATAGAGAAGCAAAGAGCCTTAAAATTTTAGCAAATCAAATCCAATAATGTAAAAAAAAGAAGAAGAAGAAAGATACCACATCATAAGTTGGGTTTATTTCAGGAATGTTAGGTTGATTTATATTTTTAAAAATCCACCTGCAATCTACCACAGTAAAAAGCTACAAAGACATAATTTATGATAAAAACTGTTAGAAAACTAGAAATAGTAGGTAACATCCTCAGGAGGGTATCTGTGAAAAATTTACAGCTAACATAATATTTAATGATGGAAAGTGCATTTTCTTCCCTTTACAATCAGAATCAAGGCAAGAATGCCCACTGTTATAGTTCTATTTACCACTGTTGTGAAGGTCCTAGCCAATGCAACAAGAAAATTAAAGGCATAAAGATCAGAAACAAGAAGGTCCTATTTTGGTATTTTGATGGTAGGAAATCTACAAAACAACTACTAGAACTAATACTTAAATTTAGTAAGGTCACAAGATACAAGGTTAATATTAAAAAATTATATTATTATATAATAGCAACAAAAAATAGGAGAATAGTAACATCCAAAATACAAAATACTTGGGAAAAAATATAACATTAAAGACATTAAAGATATCTACATTAAAAAACTATAAAACATTGCTGAGAAAAATTAAAGGAAAACTAAATAAATGGAGAGATATATCCGGTTCATTTATTGGAAGGCTCAATACTGCCAAGATGGCAGTTTTTTCCAAATTTCTCTATAGGTTCAATACAATCCTAACCAAAATTCTAGCATGCTTTTTTTTTGTTAGAAATTGATAAGCAGATTCTAAGATTTATATCTAAATGCGAAGAACCTAGAATAACCAAAGCAATTTTATAAAAAGAAGAAAAAACTGAAGGACTTACCCAACCTGACTTCAATACATATTATAAAGCTACTGTACTGGCAAAAATATAGACAAATAGATCAATGGAGAAGGGTAGAGAATCTAGAATAAATCAACACATATATGGCCAATTAATTTGAGAGAGGTTTCAAGGCAATTCAATGGGGGAAAGAAAAGTCTTTCCAAAAAAATGGTGCTGGATCAACAGGATTTCTAAATGGGAAAAGTACAAACAAACATGGATCTTACTTCACACCACACACAAAAACCAAGTCAAAATGATCACAGACCTAAAGGTAAAACTTAAATTATAATACTTTCAGAAGAAAACATTTGCAAACTTGGGGTAGGTAAATGTGTTTTTGATAGAATACAAAAAATATGAGCCATACAAGAAAAAAAATTGATAAATTAGACTTCATCAAAGTTTAAAAGACACCATTAAAAAAACAAAAATGCAAATTTCAGACTACGTGAAAATATTTGCAGCACGTATATCAGACAAAGGACTTGAATCCACAACATATAAAGAACTCTTACAAATCAATAATCAGAAAAAAAACCCACTAAAATGGCCAAAAGATTTGAAGACACATCACCAAAGAGTATATAAAAACAAGCAATAACCCAACTTGAAAAGATGTTCCACATCATAAGTTATCAGTGAAATGCAAATTCATACCATGGTGAAAGCTCACTATAGGCCATTTTCTAATGGCCTAAAATTTAAAAAGACTGATCACACTGTTTATGGGGAGATAGAAAA
Organism: Homo sapiens; assembly: GCF_000001405.40. Taxonomy (NCBI): domain Eukaryota; kingdom Metazoa; phylum Chordata; class Mammalia; order Primates; family Hominidae; genus Homo; species Homo sapiens. Next base: position 30,794,423 of record NC_000002.12, read on the forward strand.
CTGGAACTTTCATACACTCTCAGTAGATATGTAAATTGGTATGACTACATTAGAAAACAGTGTGGCAGTTTCCTAAAATGTTAAAACATACACCTTCAAAATGATCCAGCCATTCCAGTCCTAGGAATTTACCCAAGAGAAATGAAAGCATATGTTCATACAAAGACTTGTGCATAATCAAAACAGACATATTTAATAGCCAAAAGTTGGAAACAATCCAATGTCCATCAAAAGTGAATGAATAAATTGTGATGTACCCATAAAGTACTACTCAGCAATAAAAAGAAATGAATTATTGATACATGCAACAACATGAATAAATCTCTAAAATCATTATGCTATGTGAAAGCCAGTCAAAGTAGAATACATATTATATGACTCCATTTATAAAAAAATCCTAGAAATGCAAACTAATGTACCATGACAGAAAGAAGTTCAGTGGTTGCTCAGAAATGGGGGTGGAGGGAGGAATGGGTTTTGAGAAAACTTTTGGGGGTGATAGAAATATTTTCATCTTGAGTGTCATGATGATTTCACATGTGTATACACATCAAAACTCATCAAAGTTTATACCTTAAACATATGCAGTTTTTGTATATTCTAAGTAGAGTTGTTTCAAAAATTAAATGCTATATATAATTTATATAGTCTTCTGTAATTTGCTTCTCCCTGCACCCCATGGTTAAAAAGTAGCGGGATTTCATTTATTTCACTGCTGTATGTTACCCTATGATTTATTTGTACTTCTCCTCTCAATGGACATTTAATGCTCTTCTCTGTTTTAATGAAAAATAATGCTATAAATGTTATTGTACGTATCTCCTGATAAACATGCAAGAGTTTCTCTAGTTTATATTACAAGGAGTAGAATTTTTGGGTTTAGGAAACGCACATACTCAACGTCACTAAGTATGCCAAATTATTGTCCAAGGTTGTACCAATTTATAATTTCACCAACAGTGTAAAAGAGTTGCCATTGCTATATATCCTCACTAACTCTTGGTATTGGCAGGCTTTTTATTTGTACCCATCACGTGGGAGTAGGTGGTAACTCCTATGTCTTAATTTGTTTCCCTGATTACTGGTAAAATTGAGCATCTCTCAATATGTTTATTCTCCATTCATGTTCCCTCTCTTGAGGAATGAATATTCATATTTTGTGCCCATTTGTCTATTGGGTTGTCTTTTTCTTATTGATTTGTAGGAATTCACTACTCACTCTGGATATTCGTCTTTTGTTGGTCATATGTCTTGTAAATATCTTCTCCCAGTTTGTGGCTTATCTTCTTAACTCCTTTACAGTGTCTTTTGATGAACATCAATATTCTTTACACTAATACAAATGTATTACAAATATTTGCTTTAAGTTTAATTTTTATAAATTGAGCCAATATTAACTCTTATGGGAATTTAATGTAAGAAACTTTGTAAGAGATTCTCTTTTTAAAATAGAAAATTTGTAATTAACACATTCTTCCAAAACACTGATTTAAAAATTTCTTATAGCTCTATAATAATATTTTTATGAAGTCCAACATATATATCAAAATCTGAAATAGACTTGCAGAGAAATACTTTGAGTACTTAGGAAATAAAGCTGGTATCTGTATTAGCAAATATAGCTTTGCCAAAGCCAATTACTTAATTTTCCCTCCCTTTTCCTTTCTTCCCCAAAATAGAGTCCTTACTTTGCAGGAAGAGAATTACATATATATATGTGTGTATATATATATATACATATATATGTGTGTATATATATATACATATATATGTGTGTGTATATATATATACACATATATATGTATATATATATGTGTGCATATATATATACGTATATATATAGTCTTGATTTTTAAAAAGTATTTGATAAAATCTCCACCTATTCCCTGTGTGTAGACTACATTGAGTAGGTTGTATATCACGTACTATGACAGTGCAACGTAGCATAGTAAAGTAGAATACAGTGTAGTAAATAGATTTCGCAGTTTGACCCAGAGATCATGGATGAATGGTCTGGAATAGCTAAGAATCATTGCACTGTAATAGTCACAGAGCTCTGTCCTGTGTCCTGTCCTATTCTACATTTTTATCTTGGTCCTTAAAGAAGATGTTGAAATAAAAATGAAGATCCTTTTCAACTCTTTCATCATTTTTAATAGTGGAAATCAAGAGCAATTAACCAAGCAGATAGCAGAATCAAAATTCTAAATGACTTCAAAACCAAGAAGATGAAATTAACTAAGGAAACTGCAAACCTGTCTTTACATTTAAAAAGTTAACTATGCAAGTAAATAGTGAGCAGGATCTGTCTTGGCTAAATTTCATTTTGAAAATATTTTGTACGCCTCACTTGACTTCCTATTTAAAATGAGACAAAACTATGAAAGATTTGGCAGGCTCTGACCAGATTCAACAGCAGTAAGGCACTGCTCTAGACAGGCTAGCCCAGCTCTAGGGGCCACATTCCAAGAGGCTTATCGGCACTCTCAATGGTATCTGAAAATGAGTGTTTGAGTAACATAAGCATGCCTGGCAGGGAGGCAAGCCCTTTGCTTGCAAGCATGGGCTCCTGGCATGCAGTTATATCCACCTGAAAGAGGTGGCAAATTTTCATATTGGCAAAAATGTGCCAGACGGGCGGGAGGCAGTCCAGCTAAATAGACAGGAAGCCTGGAAACCCCTTCCTGGTCAGAGATCTAGAGAGGTTTACTGGACAGAAGGCCGACTGAGGGGTCTACAGTGATCCTCAGACTCAGCCCCTGCAGCCCAGGTCCCCCTCCCTCCAGAATAATCCTGCTGTAAGAGAGCAGATATTTAACCACCTCTGGCCCCACAACTGTACTCCCAACCCCTAAGTTTCCCTACCGCCAAGATTATGCTCTAGTTCAGAAAACTGAACTCTGCCTTGTGTCTTAAGGAAAAAGGAAAAAGAGGCAGCATGGAACAGTGCTCACAGGCACATAGAATCAGGTTGAAACTTGGGTTTGAATCCAGCTGTCTCTTACTGACTGAATGATCTTGGCCAATACTCTTAATATCTCTGAGCCTCCTTTCCTTACCTATAAAGTGGACGGGAGGTGGAGGTAATAAAACCAGCCTCGTAGCAGCAGACGGATATTAATTGAGAAGATTCTTGTAAAGGGCTTGGCGTGGCACATAATAAAAGCTTGTGTCCATTATGCTATCAGCAACTCCTTGAGTGTCCTGCCTGGCCCTGAACTTGAGCCCAGTGACTACAACCCTGCACCAGCTGGTGGGCATACCAGGCACCTGCCAGTCACCTCTGAACTCCCAACCTCGGGTCTCTCCAGGTTCCAGAGTTGTGTTCTTTCCATGCGTTGAGACTGTCATCTCCTCTACCTGCCTGGCAGAAATACTGGGTGCACCCTTGCCTCTGGCCCTAAGCCATGCTGTAGACCAAGCTATCTGTCAGCATCTCCAGCTGGGCCAGTGTCCCACAGCCTCTATCCTGTCTGAGGGGGCTTTTTCCTCCTCTGCTTACCCTGTCCTACACGATGGCCAGGTGTCCCTGAGGCCAAACACATGTCCAGTGGAAAGGATATGAACGCAAAGGAAGAACATGTGATCTGTGCAGTTCAGACGGTGGAAGGAGTCAGAAATTTGGGGAAGAGTGATTTTGATTAGACTCTGCAATGATGGAAGTGTTCTATATCTGTGCTGTCTAATACAGTGGCCACTGGCCATACGTAGCTATTGAGCACTTGAAAGATGGCTAGTGCAATTCAGGGACTGGATTTTAATTTTTATTCAATTTTAAATAATTTGCATTTAAATGTAAATATTCACATGCAGCCTTATTGCATGGTACTGAAGAAGAGAACTTCCAATGACATGAATTACCACAGAACAAGGAAGGCCGTAGCACTCTTGGGTGGAAATGGTTGAGCAGAGGCTGGATGACTCTACACGGGGTCCCAGGAGAGCCTTTGGATTGGGCAGATCCCTTCCAACTTCAACCTACTGAGCTCTCTCTCTGCTTTTCTTCAGTGTCATATTTTGGGCACTAAACCACTCAGTGACTTTCTGCCAGTGATGAAACCACCTCCCTGCCCCAGTGACAGGTTGCTCTGGTGTCCCTGTCCGCAGGATGCTCCTAGCATATCCCAGCAACAAAGGGTAATTTTGTTTGCATTTTGTTTTCAATCAGCTAAGAAACAGGAAGCTGCATTCAATGGTTTCCTGCCCAGGAGTGCTGCCTGCGGCCCTCTCCTGGCTGGTGTTTTTCAGAACAATGGAAATAAATCTGATGTAATGTAGCAGAACACGACAGGGGACGGTTTTCCCCTTAACAAATACTCATTTGAAATGGTGCCCAAACCCTGCACGAGGAGCAATCTATTTCCCACAACAGTGTTCCAGCAAAACCCATTACTAATTCCACAACTCAAATTAAAACTAACAGAGCTTGAAGGCTGGGGCTGACACTCTCTCTGCTGACAAGGAACAAGGAAGGGTGGGGGAAGGGGCCTGTGCACTTGTGTGTGTATGTGTGTGTTTAATTACACTGTTTAACACATCGAGAATAATTTAGCTACCCGAGTGGAGAAAATAGGCACTTAACTGCTCTCTGGTGGGAAAAAGATGTGCAAACCACTTTCAGCTATATACCACCTTGGCATACCTCAGGGCTTTGAGGAGAGAGAGGGAGACAGAGAGAGAATGAAGCAGAGAGAGAGAAGAGAGCAAAAGAAGGGGGTAAGAAGAAGGAAGGAAGACAGAGAGGGGGAAAAGGAAGGAGGAGGAAGAGAGAGTGGGTGGGAGAGAGAGGGAAGAAGACAGAAAATTTTGTGTGTATACAAATCTACAGCAAGTTGGAAGAACATGTGAGTATTTCTCAAAGAGCTTATGTGAGATGGTGTAAGTGTGAGAATGAGCTTAAACATCGGGTTTGAAGATGGAACTTAACCGCCAGACCAGTGCTGTCCCTGAGCCACTCTGCACTTCAGAATCATCTCAGTAAGTCTCCATGCATGTGTGGCCTGAATACCATGGTGGGATTAGTGGCCCCCAGAAAGGCAGACCTCAGAGGAAGACTATGCAGGGCTCACTTTGCAGAAGGGGAAAGTGGGGCTCAAGGTGAAACAGAAGAAGTTTAGGCAGCGCTTGGGCTTGACTCCTGTCCTGCCCCCAGCTTCAAAGCTGGGGTGATCTGGCCTGTGAGCAAAGCATGCCTCCGTCCCTGCCGAGGGCATCCTACTTTGTGTCTAATCAGGGCTGAGAGGGGCAGAGGTAAGCTAGTGTTTCTCATCCTCTGAGATAACCTCTGATCCACCGAGGGCCAGGGAAGAGGCCATGAAATGAAATGAAGGAAACCTCTCTCGTGTCTTCAGATGTAGAAAGCTACACAGGGCCAGGCGCAGTGGTTCACTCCTGTAATCCCAGCACTTTGGGAGGCCAAGGTGGGCGGATCACGAGGTCAGGAGATCGAGACCATCCTAGCTAACACGGTGAAACCCCGTCTCTACTAAAAATACAAAAAAATTAGCCAGGTGTGGTGGCAGACGCCTGCAGTCCCAGCTACTCGGGAGACTGAGGCAGGAGAATGGCATGAACCCGGGAGGCAGAGCTTGCAGTGAGCCGAGATTGCGCCATTGCACTCCAGCCTGGGCTACAGAGTGAGACTCCATCTCAAAAAAAGAAAGAAAGAAAGAAAAGAAAGAAAGAAAAGAAAGAAAAGAAAGAAAGAAAGAAAGAAAGAAAGAAAGAAAGAAAGAAAGAAAGAAAGAAAGAAAGAAAGAAAGAAAGAAAACTACGTAGACCTGGAACAGGTACCAGAGAAGTAAGTGCTCAGAATAGACCTCTCTATTGCCTGCCAGTGACTCTGGGTTCAGCACTGGAGCTGACTGCCAAAGAGATCAACAGCTTGGCGCAAGAGAGGCAGAAAGCAGAAGCGACTTACTGAGGTTCCACAGGCAGGGCAACCCCAGCCTCTTCTCTCCTTACTGCCCTTGCTGTGTGGACCCAGCCTCTTCCTGAATCATAGCTCAGAGAGCTCTGCTGATGGGTTCTTCTCAGGAGACCCTGGGGGTAACCAAGAGAAGGTTTGCCTGACAGAAAGAATCTGTGAAGCTCCACTAAACTCTATGGGCCTTGGGCACGTCGCTCCCTCCCCTAGCCTCGGTCTCCCCACTTGGAACACTAAGGAGGTTGGTCTCGCACTTCTAAGTGCTTTTCTACTGTAAGATTCTGTATTTCTGGAACTGAGACAACAGGTTCTTATGTAGCCTCAATGATACTGTTAGACAATAAAATAGGAACCCACAGAATGTATTATTTCTTTCAATTAAGTTTAGGTTTGTGCCAATACACACAAAAAAGAAACTTGTCTTTGCATGGAAATCTCCTTTCCCCTCCCTAGAGCATTTGATAGGTGTCATTCAATTATGATAGGGTTGAGTAGACTCAACTATATTCTAAGGATGAGGTAGAGCATTCTTTTTTCTGGGAACTAAAACTACATGAGTCTCAGAAACACTGTGTAATATTTAATCTGTGCTCAGATTTCCCAGCATGGTTTTTTTCTTTTTTCATCCTTGAAGGAGAGATGCACTTCTCATTTAGCTAATTCAAATTTTTTCTGAAACAAATACAAATTTAGTAGACTTAGGAAGTTGGGGCCTGCCATGTACCAAGTTAAAATGCAGGGTCTTGAGAGCCGCTGTTTCAGACGAGTACTCCCCAGGCAGACCCTCGGCTCCGGGCCTGCTCACTTCCCAAAGGCTTGAACCGCAGAAGGCTAGGTTTGGGGTCTTTTTCCTTTCTTATTTTTAAGGCTCTTTGGAAGTTGAGGCCACATTTATATAATCCGTTTATTCTTAAAGGATTTCCCTGGGCCTATCTTCTTAGGCTTTTTCATTTAAATGGACAAAGACAAACAGAAAATGGATGAGTACTGGGCACGGTGGCTCATGATTGTAATCCCAGCACTTTGGGAGGGTGAGGCGGGTGGATCACGAGGTCAGGAGTTTGAGACCAGCCTGCCCAACATGGTGAAACCCTAACAATACAAAAACTAGCTGGGCGTGGTGGTGTGCACCTGTAATCCCAGCTACTCAGGAGGCTGAGGCTGGAGAATCGCTTGAACCCGGGAGGCGGAGGTTGCAGTGAGCCAAGATCATGCCATTGCACTCCAGCCTGGGTGATAGAGGGAGACTCAGTCTTAAAAAAAAAAAAAAAAAAAAAAAGAAGAAGAAGAAGAAAAAGAAAATGGAAAAATGGATGAGGCAGAGGCCAAGACAGAGCAACCACACAAAGAGAAAGTCAAAGACTGGCTGGGCGACAGAAAGGGAGCCAGGGACAGCCAGTCAGCAGGGATGGAGACTGAGGAAGAGAGTGGGAGGAATGAGATGGCCCAGACGCAGGGAGGACAAAGTCCACCAGGGGAAGGGATTCTCACGCCAGCCCAGCATTGACGGTGCCAGAATTGTGTCCAAATATTACCCTGTTTTCTTATCCCTCAAGATGTGAATTCTCAAGGCATGGCTGGAAAACAAGGAATGCAGATGATGTGACTCTCAGATGGAGCTTTTTAAAGACCACCGCCCCCTGCGCTGCGTCTAGCCACAACACAGCGGAGAAAGGACAGTAGAGCCGGCTGATGGACCCCTGGCCCGGTTACCTGGGCATCCCAGTCTGTGCCTGGCCATTCTGGGTCTCTCAGGCCTGACCTGTGGAGGCTGCAGAGGCGAGTAGGCTGAGCCCTGGACTGGGAGCTCTGGTTGGGGGGTGGCGGGGGTTTGGAGACAAATCCAGTAGTACCAGTGGCCAAGCACGTTGACTAAGGGAGCCATTCCCTTTTCTGACCAGGTGCTCGGAGACACACGATGAAGGTCCCCAGGAAGGCCCAGGTCAACCTTCTTGTTCTGGAGCAAGCTTCCATCCAAGCAGATGGGGTCCCATCTCTGGGGTCAGGATATGGACCAGTGGGAGGAGAAATGTTTTTCAAAAACAAGAGCTTTCTATATTAAATATGTCAAAAAGCAACATGAAAAAGAAGGAGCTTAGAATGTGTGTGTGTGTATGTGTGTGTGTGTGTGTGTGTGTGTAAATGTGAATGTAAACGTGTCTAAGTGAGTGAGTGAAGCAGAGAAAGGCAGGCTGGGGGGGGGGGGTGGTGGTTAGACCTCTGAGGTTTCCCTTGTTCCTTCTGTCATTCTTTCCCTCTCCAGCCCTAAGAAACGGGGAGAGCCAGAGCTTCTGAAAGCAAGGACTGAGGGCAAGAAGGAAAGACAGAGGAAAGAGAGAGGAGCAGAAATGGCCTAAAAACCAGCTCTTGCAGGGTCCACTGGGGAGATGGTGGGAAGGACAGGACCTGGGGCAGGGGGTACAGGCCTGGGAGCCTCTGCCTGAAAAGAGAGGTAGATGCAGTCCCAGGAGACCTCCACCCCTCTTGCTGTCTGGCCTATGTTCCAGAACAGGCAGGGAGCTGTGGGGAATCCCCACGCCCACCTAGGGCAGGTGACCTGGCTGAGGAAGAAGGCTTGAGGACAGGTCTGAGGGGATGGCAGCACTGGCTCAGGACAGCCCCTGGGTTGACGGAACGTGCATCTGGTGGTCTGCTGGCTGGAGTCCCAGGAGCCAGCCCCTGCAGAAAGCCTCTGCCCTCATCTCCCCCAGGGCCATGCCATCCGACTGTATCTTAAGTTCCTGCAGAAAGCTAGAGTTTTCTGAGGTGGGGCTTAATGGTATATGTAGTTCAGCTGGTTGGCTGCCACGTCTGGTTAAGGATTAGAGTGGGGAGAAAAGAGAATGTTTGGCGAGAAGAACAGGGGCAAAGATTCCTGTCATCTCTCCATCACCTCTCTGGCTTCAGACCTTTGAGAACCAGTGGTCTCTAGTGGGCCACTGGGTGCATCTCCCGAAGGCAGTGTGTGGCTGTGATGGGAGACAGCGCCCCTCTGTGTCTCTGGTCTGCAGGCTGGGACAGGGTCTTGTTCAGTCCTCTGAACTGTGTGGGAGGTGCTGGTCAGACCTGGTCCACAGGCATGGGAGGTGGACATGGCAGGGCTGACCAGTGGAGATCAGAGGGCAGAGTGCTGCCAGAGGGACCATTCTTTCAGAGGGAAAGGAAACAAACCTCCTGGCTGCTCCCAATTTTAAAGGTCCCTTGGGACTTACTTGGCCGAAGTGAGGATGTTAACCCCAGAGTCCTGGCTGTCCTCCAGCCCAAGTCCTTAGAGGCAGCTCGTCACCCCAGCCACTACCGTGGGACATGGTACACGTCCCATCTCATGTTGAACTCACCAGAGAGGGCGGCAGTGGGCAAATCTCCACTTCATAACCCTACAACATGTATTAACAATTTGGATCTCTTTATTCACTAAATAGTTTGTCTCTGAGGCAACACAAGAGATAGATGAGGTGACCTTTAGCTGCCTTTCAACATGAGTATCATGGATTACAAGAGGCTGGGAGACTCCTTGGGGATTGCCTTGTTCACCTCTCTATTATTGAGACAAGGAAACAGGCTTAAGGCTTGGCTGAGCTTTCCTGGTTGTTTCCCGGGAGAATGAGCTCTGCAGATTGGTAAAAGCTTCTCATGCACCCCCACAGCCTTCCCTTATACTGCAGAGTTTTTTATTCAACAGGGTTTGTGCAAAGCAAAAAGTAGTGCATAGTGGAGGAGAGTGCCCTGAGAATTCAGGAATCAAGACAAAAGAGACTGAGCCCATGAACACAGGTCCAACTGGAGTTCAGTATGGGAGGCTCTGGTGCACTCAGTTCAACTGGTTCCTTTGTTTTGGCTTTCTCAGAGCCTGTTCTGTTTGTTTGTTTTGAGACAGAGTCTCACTCTGTCAGCAAGGCTGGAGTGCAGTGGCGCAACCTCGGCTCACTGCAACCTCCACCTCCCTGCTTCATGCAATTCCCCTGCCTCAGCCTCCCAAGTAGCTGGGATTACAGGTGCATGCTACCATGCCTGTCTAATTTTTTTGTATTTTTAGTAGAGACAGAGTTTCACCATGTTGGCCAGACTGGCCTCGAACTCCTGACCTCAGGCAATCCGCCCACCTCGGCCTCCCAAAGTGCTGGGATTACAGGCGTGAACAGAGCCTTTTTAAGTAAATTGGAATCATAACTCTCTGAGGAGGGAAGAGTAGGAGGCAACATTCATCCAAATATTTGATCATAAATGCTTTATATCAAGGAGCCCCCAGCAACAGCCCCCAAAATTAGTGTTCTATGTATACCATGCTTTAGGAAACACTTGACCAAAAGATAGAGTCCCAAGGGTGGTAGAAAATCAACACCTCCTCTTGATTCTGCTCCCATCTTTTGCATGGCCGTGGACTTCCTTGCTGTCTATCAGTGGCATGCTCCACCATGGACGTTCTGAGAGAGTTAGGATGCCCTCAACCTGACTTCTTCCAAACCTTGAGGAGAGATGGAATGGACCAGCCTATCCAAAGTCCCCTTTATGGTTTTCTCATGGGAGAAAGAGGTGACATCTAGGCAGGAACATTAGTGCTGTACGCAGTGTTCAGCAGATATTAATGATAATTCAGTCTTTATTAAACCTTTCTTAGGTGCCATCTCAGGTTCTCTTAGCCTCAACCTGTCTCTAGGACTCTTGGTCCCTTTTTTACTCCAGCCAAGGAAGTGGCTCTTCTGACCACTTCTGGACTCAGATGAGGTGCCAAGCCTCTAGCAATTAGATCTAGTTTTCCCAGTGGCTGCCACAGGGGTCAGAAGACACAAGCTGGAAGTGCAGGACAGTTAACTCCCCATAGGGCAAGCTTTGAACAATAAGAGAGGAGACAGAGTGAGCCAACATATAAATGTCCTCTCTACCCTTGCTCGGATAGACTCTTCCAAGGCACAATGCATCTGCAACGCCAGTCCAGAGGGGCCCTGCTTTGGCCAAGTGGCTGGTCATGTCTCTTTGTGAAGAGAGGCCAGGTGGTGGCACATCATCCCTCACTGCTTCCCCTTTTTCTCTTCCCATTTCCCACTTCCCTGACTCTCACTCCCCTGGTGTCTTACCTTAAGTGCTAAGTAGCACTTAAGCTTTGCCTCAGGCTTTGTTTTATAGAGAACCCAGGCTAAAATAATGTCAACAATAATGACTAAAATATCTTCAGCACTTGCCATGTGCTCAAGTACTGCTAAGTGCTTTCCATATAGGATCTCATTTGATCCTTTCACTGATCTTTTGGGGTAGATTACTGTTGCTACCATGTCTTAGTGATGAGGAAACTGGGACCCCCAAGAGGTTAAGGAGCATGCCCCAAATCACACAGCTCACCATATGGAAGCATCAAGCACAATGCTTGATACGGAGTGAGCCTCAGGGCCAGTAGGTTGGTCTTTTTTTTTTGAGACAGGGTCTTGCTCTGTCACTCAGGCTGGAGTGCAGTGGCATGATCATAGCTCACTGAAGCCTCAACCTCCTGGGCTCAAGCAATCCTTTCACCTCAACCATGGACCCCTCCCCCTGCCTCCAATAGCTGGGACTACAGGTGTGCACCACCACATGTAGCTAATATTTTTTCCCAGACCCCCAATTTTTAATTTATTTTTGTAGAGACAGGGTTTCACCATGTTGCCCAGGCTGGTCTTGAACTCCTGGGATCAAGCAATCTGTCCACCTCGGCCTCCCAAAGTGTTGAGATTACAGGTGTGAGCCACAGTGCTTGGCTTAATGTGTGCATTTCTTCATAGCATCTTTTCTTCTAAGGTGTTCTTTCAAGAGGGTAACTGAATACAACCAAATAACTAGGGGACAAGACAGGGTACCTACCAGGCACAGCAGAACTCCAGCTCTGTCATTTGCATCTGGTATAAACTTTTGCAGCAAGTCACTCACCGGTCCCTCACTTTTTCCATCTACAAAATGGGATAATGAACTCATGCTATATATAGCTTTTGCCTATTACACAGTTGGTAGATTATTACATTTCCATCAACCAATCTACTAATAAGTAAGCCTCCCTACAGCTGTCACTCCTCCAACCTTCAAAATAACAACAACAACAACAACAACAACAAAAACCCACAATACTTATGTCAAGGTGGGTACAAAGGTGAGACAATTCAAGAGGATAATCTGATTGAAAGTCTAGTTAATGCCACTCGGGGGTAACCAAAGTTGTGTTTGTGACCCAGGACAAATGGGACAGTCAGTAGTTCATGACCCAACTGTAACTATAGAGGGAAAATATCTGCACTTATTCTAATCTGGTTAACTTGGGTCCAAGCTGAGCAGCTGGAACTGTCTCCCTGAGAACAGCATCACATCTCAAAGATTACATAACTTTAGCAGTTACAGAGACACATGTGTGTGACCATGACACCACTAGAGGCATATAGGAACCTCCTGAATCTCTGAAGTTGTAATGATCTGTCTTTTGTGATTAACCCAGAGTTGTCAACTTCATTCCTATAACTAATAAGCTAGATGATTAGAAAACAAAGGGCCCAGGTCCCATTCTTCCCTTTAGCAAATGTTTATTAAGCACCTACTATCTAACAGAAACTACACATCAGTGCACAAAGAAGACATGATTTCTGCCATCAATGTGTCCCTTACGGTGAACACAGCCCTCAAGGTCACAACTTAGAATGATCAGAAATCGAAGGTGACAGAATGATTAAGAAATACTCTCTTTGCATGAAATATGCAAAGTTTGGATTAGATTCTCTTAGAAAATTAACTCCCACTTTGCCCTAGTTTTTCTTAAAGCATATCCTTGGACCACCTGCATCAAAAAAACCCAGCTTCCAGAGCTACTGAATATGTACCTTGGGAGGTGGGAACTCAGAAGCGACATCATGAAGCTCTCTAGAAAATTGTACATGCTCACTAATGTTTAGAGGACTGCCTTGGTCCACAGCTCTGGGACATGACCACGCACAACTTACCTGTTTCCTAGGCAGGTGTGTCTGATGGAGGAGGGGAGACGGGCAGGTTCCACAGGCTCTCAGGTTAGAGAGTGGTGGAGGAGACTGGCAGAGGAGGAGAGCATGGCCGGCCGTCTTGGAGAAAGAGCAGTGCTGGTGTCTGCTTACTCCTGACCTCAGGCTTTTCCTTATATGGGTGTACCAGGTAAAGGCAGGCTCCACCTTCGTTAAACAGTGACTTCAGCATTGGGCAGTGGCCTGCCACCTCTTGGAGAGAGAGAGGACATTGAATGTAAACAGCAACAGCTTCCAGATTCTCCGCCCCAAGCCTATCTCTGCCTTATCCCACCTCACTTCCTGGGGCCCCTAAGCTGCCCGTTTCTTGGCTCTTGCAGTTTTCATTGTTTCCAGATATTTAAGTTTCTTTATCTTTATTCTGCTTCAGGGAATTTGTGTTTTGTTTTGGTTTGTTTTACAAAACCCCTCTGCTGAGAAAAGACTGAGGGAAGCAACCTTCCTTCAGGCCTCATTCTCATACAGGAAAGTACAATTGCCATGTCTCCTGCATCAAGAGTGGCCACTCCACGTCAATCATATCACATCTCTTTCTACTAGACGCAGTATCTTCTTTCTACAAATACATTGTAGAACACATTAACTCCTGGGCATGGCGAGACCCAGGGAAGGTCTCTGCATCATCCCTGCTTGCTGGATGGGGCAGAAAGAGATGAGGCGTGTAAAGTGCATGTTTCCTGTTCTCAAATCCAAGGGGCTATTTGCTTTTCTGGCATCTTTAATTCCTTGATGTTCTTCATCCCCATTCATAAGTGCTCTTTAGAAGCCAGTTCCAGAACCCTGATCGCATGGCACACCCTATGCTATAGGCAATAATGATAAAATAGGTAAAACAGGGAAACAATGTGGAAATCACCAAAAACTGTTATGACTGGTCCATTCCCAAATTCTGATGAGTAGAAAGGGATATTTGGCACATGAATGAAGAATCTGAGAAGCTGGAAAGTATGGATATGAGTTTTAACCCCAGTTTTGCAACTTTTGGCTGTGTGACCTGGGCAAGTCCCTTCCCATCTTAGTCTATTAATCCGTGAGCTGAGGATTATGATGCTTACCCTGTCTGCCTTGTGTTTGTTTAGTGGGATTCCTGCATCCCAGCGGACACCTTCTATTAGAAATTTCACTATAAATACAGTAAACAATACACACACACACACTATTGCATAAACATCATCAGTGAATAAATACGCAGATATCTGTGGTGCATGTTCAAAATGATTTTACTAATAGAGCATGCAATGAAAAATGTTGGAAAGCCATAGTTTCAGAAAAAAATGGTGAGAAAATGCTTCAGAAAGCCCTACCCACAAGGATATATCACAAGACAGTGTCTCAAGAAAATTAATTGGGAGTTTTCTTGCTTATTGATGATGGTTTTGTCATCTCCCATCTCTAAAAATATATTTTTCCCCCTAAGAGTGGGAGCTGTTATCCCCAGAGCAGTCTTTGGGAGTACTGAGTTAAAAAGGGAAACAGCTCCCGATGGAGTGTTCTAGGTGCCAAGAAACAAGCCGCTCTGGGTGATAATTGTGCCGGAAGAATGGCTTAGGTGAGGGACCCTGTCAAGAACACCTGTGCACAAATCCCAGGGGCTGTTTTCTTTTCTGGCATCTTTGATTCTTTGGTGTTCTTCCTCCCATTTATAGGTGCTCTTTAGAAGCCAATTCTCAGTGATTTGTTTTTTCCAGAGAATTCCAGCCGAAGGCTATAAACTGGGCAACACCTAACAGTAAGTTCTTAGCTGGACTTGCTCCAACTCTGAAGGCCGTGTGGCATGCCCCTTAAATGCTTCCAATGCCTTTCTGGCATTCCCTGCTGAGCACTGCATAGCTGCCCTGAGATGCAGTCCTTTGCGGCATGCATGGGACCCACCACAGCCCTCCTCTCCCTCTGAGTCTCGATCTCCTTCACTGTATGTGATGGCTTCTGTGTCACGGAGCCCCACTGGGGCCTCCCCTGCCACTACCTGTGTCTACCAAATACACTGATCCTGCTATGGCTGTCCAAGCCTGGCCTGTGAGGGCTGTTCTTCGAGTGCCAACTGTGGGTGTAGGAAATGCCGTCATTGCCATTGTGCTGTGGCCATACCTGCACTTCCTCTGCCACGCCATGACTGCCCCTGATGTGACTGGCTCCTGCACTCATGCCGCTGACATTTAGTGCTCAGTGTCCTAAAGAAATGCAAAGAAATAGCTCTTTTTTTGCAATCACTTCGAGCCAGAAGAAAACTGGAGCCAGACTAGGCTCAGGGTCCCCGTCCTCCCCTTATGAACCTAGGCTACAGTCCTTGAACCAATCTTGCCCACAGGGAGACCACCTTCTCTGAGAGAGACTTCTTTCTCCAGAGACTCCTTACTCAATCATGTCAACACACTCCTGAGTGCTCCCACTCACCAACCTGTAGCCATGCCTCAGAATACCCAGATCTTGAGAGACATAACTCTTCCTCTCTCCTTCCTTCCCCTTCTCCTTTCTGTCTTCTTCCCCCAACCCCACTGTTCTGTCTCCCTCTCTGCCTCTCCAACATTCTCTTACAAACTGTTTCTCATGCCATGTTGCCAGGCACTGCACCAGGCTCAGGGAACACAGCAGCAGGTCCAGCGGACACACAAGCCCAGTGGACTTAGAATCTAGTGAGAGACACACATGAAACCAATAACCACAAAAGCAGCCAGATTATTTCTCTTGCAATTAGTGCTATGAAGGGGATTTGCAGGTTCTAGGAGACACCCAAACAGGAAAAAGTAGGCAGTGCCTCCACTGAGGAGTCATGAGACGCCCTCCTGGGGAGTGAAGGATGTGGGGAGCCAGCCAGGAGGAGAGGGTCGAGGAGGAGGCTGTGGTGAGACTGGTAAGAATGTGCAAATCCTGTGTACAGCTTGATAAATGTTCACAAAGGAAACCCAAGTTACCGGCATCCAGATTAAGAAACACCATTACCAGAACCCAGAAGCTCCTTTGCACCCTTTCTCATAATGTCCTTTGGTTTACCCTCAAGGTAAACTGTCCTGAGTCAGTTAATTTTGAAAAGCCTTATCCTCTTTTCCTTTATAAGAAAACAAACCCTGTGTTGACTTAGGGAATTAAATCAAATGACCCTGTAAAATATCACAAAGGGGACTGTTTTGGCAGGGGAAACAGGTATACAGAGTGTTTACCACATGGTTAAATGGATCATTTAGCAGATTTCATGTACATTTCATGTATTTGTACATTCCCCTGTGGGTGGAAATAGCAAAGTCAACAAAGTGCAGTGATTTTTATTAATGCCGAAAAGTATGAAGTGCCTGGAGGTCACCCAGCTTGAGTTTGCTGTGCCATGGCTGCCAGCTAGGCAGATTACAAACTACCAAGTCAAGCCCAGGCCTATTACACCCCGGTTCCTTCTTGTGCCCTGGGGGACAGAACCCCAGCAAAAGCCAGAGTTTCCATTCTTATGCATAGATGAGAACACAGAGTGTGTGTGCGTGGTGGGGCAGCAGGAGGCGTGGAGGCAAGAGGAACATAAGGAAGCCAGAGATGGTTTAAAAATGAGTGATGTTCCTTATTATAAAATACTCATCACAGGCTGGGTGCAGTAGCTCACGCCTGTAATCCCAGCAGTTTGAGAGGCTAAAGCGAGTGGATCACTTGAAGTCAGGTGTTCAAGACCAGCCTGGGCAACATGGTGAAACCCCGTCTCTACTAAAAATACAAAAATTAGCCAGGTGTGGTGGTGCATGCCTGTAATCCCAGCTACTCAGGAGGCTGGGGCAGGAGACTAGCTTGAATCTGGGAGGCAGAGGCTGCAGTGAGCTGAGATCACACCACTATACTCCAGCCTGGGTGACAGAGCAAGATTGTCTCAAAAAATAAAATACAATAAACAAAATACTCATCACAGAAACTTTTGAAAAATTATTTAAAAGTTAAAAAATAACCATAATCTTATACTCAGAGATAATGATTATTTTTCGTCTTCCTTTTTCTAGACACAGCCACACATAATGCAGACATTTCAGTCACTGGCGCCTACAAGTGCTTGCAAGAGATGTCGACTCAGTGCTCACGTTCTGAATGCACTGGCTTGGAGCCCTTTCCCAGCTGATGCAACGTCTCCCCCTGGGAATCTCTGGGAAGCCCCGAGAGTGTCTGCTGGTTGTCCACCGAACATCTTCTGCATTCCATTAGGCATTGTGGTCTCTGGGGGACACTATACCTTCTCTAAGGGAGCTCTGTCCTCCCTAGGGTTATGAACTCTTGATTGACCTCTCTCTATTGTCTCTAGCCCTAGTTCTTCCACTCCCAAATAGCTTCTCAGTGTCCCTCTCCCATGCAAATCACTTGAGCAAATATATGCCCCCAAAGCAAGTGTTTAGAATACCAAGTCTCAGCTGGGAGTGGTGAGGGATGCCTATTATCCCAGCTCCTTGGGTGGCTAAGGCAGGAGGATCACTTAAACCCACAAGTTTGAGACCAGCCTGGGCAACATAGCAAGACCCTGTCTCAATAAAAATAAAGATTAAGAATTAAAGAAAATAAATAAATTCAACCATAACTTAAAACAAAGAATATCAAGTCCTTAATCTAAACTTATTCTCAATAGGATCACCCTATTTCTCTCTTGTTCCTTCTCTCTCTCCCACATACATCCTTTCCTTTCCCCCCAATCACAAGATTGAGCTTAAACTATATATTGTTTTGCAGCCTACTTTTCTTCATTTTAAATTAGATCATGAACATTATGTCATTATATCCTCTGTAAAACTATGATTCTTAATGACTGTATACTATTCCAATGCTTGAATGTAATATTAACCAATACATAATAGAATAGAATAAATAGAATATTAGCCAATCCTGTGGTTTTGGACATTTAGATTATTTCTTACCTTTGACCATTACAAATCCTGGCATACAAATTGTTCCAAATGCTTCCAGTGAATTTCTTATGATAAATTCCGAAAAGCGAAATGAATAGTTCAAGAGCTATGAGCACTATAAAGGATTTTGATTCCTATTACTAAATATTCTTCCGAAAGACTGCTCCAGCGTATAGCCCAGCCAGCAGCATATGTGGTCTTTTTTCCCATCTTTAGAGTATTTTTACATTATAAAATGGTGTCACTTCCCTAGGGTGGGAAGATGGGGCACTGGCGGATAGAGAATGAACTCCAAAACCTCGGTGAAGGCTGTGAGTTCTCATGCCATGTAGCTATCATTTCTTCTTCTCCCCTATGCCATGTGCCCATGCTCTAGCCACCAGAGTACTTGATAATCCTGAGACATACTATACACTTCCATGTTTCTATGACTTCAAATGTGATACTTTTATATCTATAATTTCTTATCACCTCTCCTCTGCCCAATCAAACCCTAACTCATCTTTCAAATCCCAATTCAAATATTATTGCTAATCTTTCTACTTACCAGGAGCAAATATGTTAGGTAAATATTAGCAATTGCCACTATAACTATAACTTCTTTCTGGAGTACTACTCCTCATAACCCTACAAGAGAGGCATCATTGTTCCCATTTTATACACAAGGACTGTGACACTGAAAGGTTAAATAACTTGCCCATAATCACTCAGATTTGAACCCAGTCCAACCTGGCTCCAAAGCTTGGGTTCCTATCCACTACGGAGATTTCCCTAATCTTACAGCTACCCTCACCTCTCCATACTATACTATACTATTCTCTCACTTAGGCTATGGTATACTTGATCATTTCCCAACTGGTTCATGAGACCCTTACAGGAAACCAATCATGTACCCTCTCTATTTCCAACTCCTATCAGATATGCGGCACCTAGTAGGTGCTCAATAAATTTGTGTGGAATTTAGGCAGTTGGTAAACCAAGTGAATTACTCGAGTGTTGAAGCAGGAGACCATTAATTTCTCTTGGGCTATAATAATTATTTGACCTAGGTGAATGAACTACAGTTAGAGGGAGTCCTCAGACTAGAATCTGGAACTGGCAGGGAAGGCCCAAGAGGAAAGCACTGGAGGGAGGGGGCATCAGTCATTTGACCTCTAGAAGGATGATTCTTGTGGACACACAGGGCCTCTGGGAAACACAGGTCTTGCCATGCTCCTAGATTCAGAGCAATAGGTGATAAATATAATATTATCTTTAAGAGAAGCATTATAAACACTCAAGCTTTCAATCAAACTGTCCTGGTCCCACCACTTCCTTATTGTGGAATTTTGGACACATTACTTAACTCCAAGTCTGTTTCCTCAGCCCCCAAAATGTTGATGATAATAGAATCTAACTCATTGGGCATTGTGAGAATGAAAGAAGCAAAGGCAGATAAAATGTTGAATACTGAGCCTGGTACGTAGTAAGTGTGCCGTAGATGATGGCTATTCTTTAGTAAAATTTGACTGAGTATCTGGCTGGTGGAGATTTAGGAGAACCAAGTTAGGGGGAGGCTGGGACTTCTAAGCTCGAAACCAAGGACATTTCTGGGAAGGATGAAGGAGAGAACCAAGGCCAGGGAGGTAAGACCTGACACTGACCAGGAGAAAATCCAGAGCGGGAGAAATAACTCATTTTTATTTGCTCCTTAAATGTTCTGTTTCAAAAACAAGTAAGTCTGTGTGCTGTAAGCATTGTCTGAAGACACAAAAAGAGACTGGCAAAATAGGATCATCTCTGGTGTTGCCACAGGTTGTTGCACAGAAGAAATTAGCTCCGCTACTGGTGTGGAAACCTTAGCAATGGGCGGACTGAAAGGAAATGAACCCCTCTTCCTTCCTTCTCATGTGGTGGCTATGGTGGAGGGGGCCTTGAGGAACCCAAGTCCTGTCCTTGCTGGAGAAGCGGGAAGCCTTGCATCGGGCAGGGTTGAGTGGGTGCTGGCTCTGCCCCTTTCTGCATCTTGGTGCCTCTCAGGGCAGGCTTCTTTGGTGGGCACCAGATCCATGAAAGTATAGTGTAAGGGTGGTCACTGTCACCGCAGCCCAAGGAAGACGCATGGACCAGAACCAGAACCAGATTCTGTCTTGAGACTAGAAACACGAAGGTAGGTAGGAAAGGGCAGCATATGAATTGTTCTCGCCATACCCTTCTTTGATTGCATCTCCTGATAAACAAATTCTCAGAAATTTGAGGCAAGAGGGCTTAGGTCAACCAATGCATGTGGGTGGGGTAAGGAAGCTGGAATAAGCTACCTGCTGTCATTCTCTAGCTAACTCAAAGACCTTATGAAAAACCCTTCCTTCTTCCTGAAAGATAATAAATCAGTGAGATGGGGTGGCATGGGGACAGGTACAGATCAGAATGTTCAGAGTTGGTGCAGAACGGCTTGCAGACAGAGGAGGGGCATTTGGTAAACAGGTGGGGACATATTTCACTTACTTAGAAAAGCCAAAGTGCCCTATGTAGGGGTGAGTGGACCTTCTGGAAGAAAAAGCAGGCACAAAGGATTGGCACAAAGGATTGGCAAGCAGGTTCTAGCAGAGGCTGGTGGCCATGCCAACCCCAATCCATGGGGACTATAGTATGACAGCCTCATTTTGGAGTCAGTCACCTGAGAAAAGGCTTTCCATCCCCATGGGAGAGACCTCCAGGTACCCTCTAACGAAATGACCTTGGAGATATAACTAGAATAACCAATGCAGAGAAGTGCTTAAAGGAGCTGATGGAGCTGCAAGCCAAAGCTCGAGAACTACATGAAGAATGCAGAAGCCTCAGGAGCCGAAGCGATCAACTGGAAGAAAGGGTATCAGTGATGGAAGATGAAATGAATGAAATGAAGCGAGAAGGGAAGTTTAGAGAAAAAAGAATAAAAAGAAACGAACAAAGTCTCCAAGAAATATGGGACTATGTGAAAAGACCAAATCTACGTCGGATTGGTGTACCTGAAAGTGACAGGGAGAATGGAACCAAGTTGGAAAACACTCTGCAGGATATTATCCAGGAGAACTTCCCCAATATAGCAAGGCAGGCCAACATTCAGATTCAGAAAATACAGAGAACACCACAAAGATACTTCTCGAGAAGAGCAACTCCAAGACACATAATTGTCAGATTCACCAAAGTTGAAATGAAGGAAAAAATGTTAAGGGCAGCCAGAGAGAAAGGTCGGGTTACCCACAAAGGGAAGCCCATCAGACTAACAGCGGATCGATCAGCAGAAACTCTACAAGCCAGAAGAGAGTGGGGGCCAATATTCAACATTCTTAAAGAAAAGAATTTTCAACCCAGAATTTCATATCCAGCCAAACTAAGCTTCAAAAGTGAAGGAGAAATAAAATACTTTACAGACAAGCAAATGCTGAGAGATTTTGTCACCACCAGGCCTGCCTTACAAGAGCTCCTGAAGGAAGCACTAAACATGGAAAGGAACAACCGGTACCAGCCACTGCAAAAACATGCCAAATTGTAAAGACCATCAAGGCTAGGAAGAAACTGCATCAACTAACGAGCAAAATAACTAGCTAACATCATAATGACAAGATCAAATGCACACATAACGATGTTAACTTTAAATGTAAATGGACTAAATGCTCCAATTAAAAGACACAGACTGGCAAATTGGATAAGGAATCAAGACCCATCAGTGTGCTGTATTCAGGAAACCCATCTCACATGCAGAGACACACATAGGCTCAAAATAAAGGGATGGAGGAAGATCTACCAAGCAAATGGAAAAGAAAAAAAGGCAGGGGTTGCAATCCTAGTCTCTGATAAAACAGACTTTAAACCAACAAAGATCAAAAGAGACAAAGAAGGCCATTACATAATGGTAAAGGGATCAATTCAACAAGAAGAGCTAACTATTCTAAATATACATGCACCCAACACAGGAGCACCCAGATTCATAAAGCAAGTCCTTAGAGACCTACAAAGAGACTTAGACTCCCACACAATAATAATGGGAGACTTTAACACCCCACTGTCAACATTAGACAGATCAACGAGACAGAAAGTTAACAAGGATATCCAGGAATTGAACTCAGCTCTGCACCAAGCAGACCTAATAGACATCTACAGAACTCTCCACCCCAAATCAACAGAATATACATTCTTTTCAGCACCACACCACACCTATTCCAAAATTGACCGCATACTTGGAAGTAAAGCACTCCTCAGCAGATGTAAAAGAACAGAAATTATAACAAACTGTCTCTCAGACCACAGTGCAACAAACTAGAACTCAGGATTAAGAAACTCACTCAAAACTGCTCAACTACATGGAAACTGAACAACCTGCTCCTGAATGATTACTGGGTACATAACAAAATGAAGGCAGAAATAAAGATGTTCTTTGAAACCAATGAGAACAAAGACACAACATACCAGAATATCTGGGACACATTCAAAACAGTGTGTAGAGGGAAATTTACAGCACTAAATGCCCACAAGAGAAAGCAGGAAAGATCTAAAAGTGACATCCTAACATCACAGTTAAAAGAACTGGAGAAGCAAGAGCAAACACATTCAAAAGCTACCAGAAGGCAAGAAATAACTAAGATCAGAGCAGAACTAAAGGAGATAGAGACACAAAAAAACCTTCAAAAAATCAGTGAATCCAGGAGCTGGTTTTTTGAAAACATCAACAAAATTGATAGACTGCTACCAAGACTAATAAGAAAAGAGAGAAGAATCAAATAGATGCAATAAAAAATGATAAAGGGGATATCACCACCAATCCCACAGAAATACAAACTACCATCAGAGAATACTATAAACACCTCTATGCAAATAAACTAGAAAATCTAGAAGAAATGGATAAATTCCCGGATGCATACACCCTCCAAAGGCTAAACCAGGAAGAAGTCTAATCCCTGAATACACCAATAACAGGCTCTGAAATTGAGGCAATAATTAATAGCCTACCAACCAAAAAAAGTCCAGGACCAGATGGATTCACAGCCGAATTCTACCAGATGTACAAAGAGGAGCTGCTACCATTCCTTCTGAAACTATTCCAATCAATAGAAAAAGAGGGAATTCTCCCTAACTCATTTTATGAGGCCAGCATCATCCTGATACCAAAACCTGGCAGAGACACAACAAAAAAAGAGAATTGTAGACCAATATCCCTGATGAACATTGATGCAAAAATCCTCAATAAAATACTGGCAAACCGAATCCAGCAGCACATCAAAAAGCTTATCCACCAGGATCAAGTGGGCTTCATCCCTGGGATGCAAGGCTGGTTCAACATACGCAAATGAATAAAAGTAATCCATCATATGAACAGAACCAAAGACAAAAACCACAGGATTATCTCAATAGATGCAGAAAAGGCCTTTGACAAAATTCAACAGCACTTCATGCTAAAAACTCTCAATAAACTAGGTATTGATGGGACGTATCTCAAAATAATAAGAGCTATTTATGACAAACCCACAGCCAATATCATACTGAATGGGCAAAAAGTGGAAGTATTCCCTTTGAAAACTGGCACAAGACAGGGATGCCCTCTCTCACCACTCCTGTTCAACATAGTGTTGGAAGTTCTGGCCAGGACAATCAGGCAGGAGAAAGAAATAAAGGGTATTCAATTAGGAAAAGAGGAATTCAAATTGTCCCTGTTTGCAGATGACATGATTGTATATCTAGAAAACCCCATTGTCTCAGCCCAAAATCTTAAGCTGATAAGCAACTTCAGCAAAGTCTCAGGATACCAAATCAATGTACAAAAATCACAAGCATTCTTATACACCAATAACAGACAAACAGAGAGCCAAATCAGGAGTGAACTCCCATTCACAATTGCTTCAAAGAGAATAAAGTACCTAGGAATCCAACTTACAAGGGACATGAAGGACCTCTTCAAGGAGAACTACAAACCACTGCTCAATGAAATAAAAGAGGATACAAACAAATGGAAGAACATTCCATGCTCATGGATAGGAAGAATCAATATAGTGAAAATGGCCATACTGCCCAAGGTAATTTATAGATTCAATGCCATCCCCATCAAGCTACCAATGACTTTCTTCACAGAATTGGAAAAAACTACTTTAAAGTTCATATGGAACCAAAAAAGAGCCTGTATCACTAAGTCAATCCTAAGCCAAAAGAACAAAGCCGGAGGCTTCATGCTACCTGACTTCAAACTATACTACAAGGCTACAGTAACCAAAACAGCATGGTACTGGTACCAAAACAGATATATAGATCAATGGAACAGAACAGAGCCCTCAGAAATAATGCCGCATATCTACAACTATCTGATCTTTGACAAACCTGAGAAAAACAAGCAATGGGGAAAGGATTCCCTATTTAATAAATGGTGCTGGGAAAACTGGCTAGCCATATGTAGAAAGCTGAAACTGGATCCCTTCCTTACTCCTTATACAAAAATTAATTCAAGATGGATTAAAGACTTACATGTTAGACCTAAAACCATAAAAACCCTAGAAGAAAACCTAGGCAATACCATTCAGGACATAGGCATGGGCAAGGACTTCATGTCTAAAACACCAAAAGCAATGGCAACAAACGCCGAAATTGACAAATGGGATCTAATTAAACTAAAGAGCTTCTGCACAGCAAAAGAAACCACCATCAGAGTGAACAGGCAACCTACAGAATGGGAAAAAATTTTTGCAACCTACTCATCTGACAAAGGGCTAATATCCAGAATCTACAATGAACTCAAACAAATTTACAAGAAAAAAACAACCCCATCAAAAAGTGGGTGAAGGATATGAAGAGTCACCTCTCAAAAGAAGACATTTATGCAGCCAACAGACACATGAAAAAATGCTCATCATCACTGGCAATCAGAGAAATGCAAATCAAAACCACAATGAGATACCATCTCACACCAGTTAGAATGGCAATCATTAAAAAGTCAGGAAACAACAGGTGCTGGAGAGGATGTGGAGAAATAGGAACACTTTTACACTGTTGGTGGGACTGTAAACTAGTTCAACCATTGTGGAAGTCAGTGTGGCGATTCCTCAGGGATCTAGAACTAGAAATACCATTTGACCCAGCCATCCCATTACTGGGTATATACCCAAAGGACCATAAATCATGCTGCTATAAAGACACATGCACACGTATGTTTATTGCGGCACTATTCACAATAGCAAAGACTTGGAACCAACCGAAATGTCCAACAACGATAGACTGGATTAAGAAAATGTGGCACATATACACCATGGAATACTATGCAGCCATAAAAAATGATGAGTTCATGTCCTTTGTAGGGACATGGATGAAACTGGAAATCAACATTCTCGGCAAACTATCGCAAGGACAAAAAACCAAACACCGCATGTTCTCACTCATAGGTGGGAATTGAACAATGAGAACACATGGACACAGGAAGGGGAACATCACACTCCGGGGACTGTTGTGGGGTGGGGGGGAGCGGGGAGGGATAGCATTAGGAGATATACCTAATGCTAAATGACGAGTTAATGGATGCAGTACACCAACATGGCACATGTATACATAGGTAACAAATCTGCACATTGTGCACATGTACCCTAAAACTTAAAGTAAAATAATAATAAAATAAAATGAAATAAAAAAAAATGACCTTGGAGAACCAGCTTGGACCAGTGCAGCTTTTTCTATAGACTCCTAGGCTCCTCTATCTGTTCCCCGTGGTGATGGGCAAGAAACTGATTTAAAGGATGCCTGTGCTCATTGTGGGGGACAGAAAGAAAGAGATGTCCTGAGGAGACTGTCTCCATTGATAGCCAGTTTTGGGGGTGACAAAAGGAACTCCAACAAGGTAGATAGGTGAATACCCTGAAGAAAAGAGGAAGTCAGGCTGGGACCCCAGAAAGGGAAGAAGGAAGAAGCCATGGGTCTGAGCCAGCAGAGGAACCACTTTGGGGCTCCGTACGGGGTTGCTAACTGCCCACTGACACATTGTCTATGAAATATAATCAAAATAATTTCATTAATATGGATGCCAGCACCATCACAAAGTAATTGAATGAGGAAGTTAAAACTTCCAAGTACCACTGTGTGTGAGAAATACACAAAGATGCCTTGTAAAGGTCAGGCTTCAATCAAGCTCAGTTAGGATTACAAAGAGCCAAGATGAGTGGGCAAAGAAACATTTTGTGCTTCCTCGATAAGACGATGCTACTGCAGAGGTCCGTAGAAGTCTATTAATATCAATTTTTATCATTTTTAGAGTCATACTTACATTTTGAGGGGACGATCATTAGACAATGGGCCACGCATGAGGATAAGGACTGTGGGCTCAGTGCAAGCACTGCCTCTGAACCGAACAATGAAGCTTTATTCACTTCTTGTTTGGCTCATTATGTTAACTTTTTATTATGCAAAACTGCCAATTCAATTGCACAATGAGAAAAAATATATTTGGAACAATTCACAAGCGATGTTTACCATACCTGCTAAAAGGAAAAAACTCACCAGAAAGAATTTACTGAAGAGGATTCTCGTGATCTTCCCAGATCCTCATTGACAGCTAATTTGTCCATCCAGGAATTTTCAGTGACCTCTACTTGAGTGCTTTGGAAAACAGGAGCAGCGAGGGCTCCTTGGCTACACAGGAAGCAAAGCTTTCATATAAGTGATGTGGCACATCTGAGAAAGGCCCTGGCGGGGAGCACTAAGCAGTTTCAAACTTCCATGCATAAGGTTCACTTGGGGAGTTTGTTAAACAGTGCAGATTCCCGGGCCTCTCCCTAGAAATTCTGATTTAGTAAATTTGGGTTGGGCCCAGAGAATCCACAGGTTTAAGCTTCCCGGGGATCCTGTCTTGAGGCTCCTTGGGCTTGCCCTGGTTGTGGCTGGCTCACTATTTAGAAAGGGCAACCCTCTCTTCATATGCTGCCAGGGGGTCATCTGGCCTTCAAACGCTCAGGAGCTAGGGCTCCCTTCTGTGAGCACGGACTCTGGGGCCCAGGCTGTGAGCCTCAGTGTTAAGTCAGGACCTGCGTAACAGAGGGAATAGATTCTAGGGAAGGTATTAGCTTTCTCTGCCTGCCCATCCCCGTTAGCCACGCAATCCTCAGGCCTGGCTCCACAGCGGAATCACCTGGAAAGAGGTTTTTTTTTGTTTTGTTTTGTTTTTTTATACTTTAAGTTTTAGGGTACATGTGCACAATGTGCAGGTTTGTTACATGTATACATGTGCCATGTTGGTGTGCTGCACCCATTAACTCATCATTTAGCATTAGGTATATCTCCTAATTCTATCCCTCCCCCCTCCCCCCACCCCACAACAGTCCCCGGTGTGTGATGTTCCCCTTCCTGTGTCCATGTGTTCTCATTCTGGGACCTACCCCAGATCAAACCAGAATCTTGGTGAAGCCAGGGTGCTCCTGGCAATAATATGTTTCAGAGATGTTCAGGTGAATCTAACGTGCAGTCAGGATTGAGAACCCCTGGTTTAGTCTATTTCTTACCTCCTGGGTCCCTTCTTTCCTGTCCCTCATGGGTGGGGACACCTCCAGGAGCTCCGTTCTCAGACCGTACCCTCTGGCCACCTAGAGGCCCCTACTCTGCCACCCCATCGAGGCCTGTTCTGGGAGCGCTCCCTGGTCCCTCCTCTCCTCTCCTTCAGATACAACCCTCTTCCCTCAGTGCCGTTAATGTGAGGGGAGTGCACTGATGTGGAGGAGTCTTTGAGGGAAGATGTGAATTGCCATACCCTCCTTTCACTGTGTGCAAATAACTAATGGTCTTAGGTCAAGTTCCTTGAGAAACAAACTCTGAGAAGGAGGTTTATGTGCAGCAGGCTTATTGGGGAGTGCCAGTGGGATCAGCATCTAGGAGGGAAGGAAGACAGAAGAGCTGGATAGAGGGAGGAACTGGGTAGACCTCGCAATACAGGCTGTTGCAACAGAGGCCTTGGCTGATCCCATGGTTAGCTCTGGATGACCTCTCCAAATGTCCCGCTTTCAGGCTAGGGGGCGGGCCGTTTATATTCCCAACATGGATGGGTAATTGTATGCCCGCTGCCTCTGGGGAGGAAGCTGACCCTGGACGAGGCGGTTCTCTACAGTTCAGGGAAATGAAGGGTTACGGCAAGGCAGGGACTCAGCTGAGAGCGTCAGTTGTCAGCACGCAGAACCTGTGGGGCATCGGCTACCTCAGTCCTGCATGCGACTCTTCCTGTCACCCCCCCATCATCCACACCAACCCACCCTGGTTTTCTTATTTTTTGAGGCAAGCTTGCCAAAATGAACAAACGCCAATTTAGTTACCTAGAGAAAGGGAGGCTTCTCAGGACCTTGAGAGGCAGCATGTGTGTGATCTAAAAACTTTTGGGGTGAGATTAGAATCTCAGGTTGGGCTGTTACTGAAATTATTATCTTAGGCAAGTCGCTAAAATCTTTAGGCCTCAGTTAATTTGTCTTTAAAATGGGGCTGATGAATTAGCAGAGTGGCTGAGGAATAAAAGCAGCAATGTGGGCAGTATCTGGGACATGGGAGTGTGTGTGAATGCAGGCTCCTCCTGGGCTGGGCCCTGCCCACCTGGGGTCTGTCCCCATCAGACCCCACAGAACACTCAGGACAAGACTGAGCCACTTCTCTCCAATTCATGCTTCTCTCCTGGTAGCCAAGGTGCTGAGAGAACGTTGGAAATGTCCCTGGTGGGATGTTGGTCCTGGACCAGATTCTCAGATTTCCACTTCTCTCACTGTAGTGCCAAGAAGTACCTTGGCCAATTTTCCTTTAAGAAGTGGCCAGGAAGGGAGTTTTGCAACTTGAGGCAAGTGTTGTAAGGGTAAAGGAGACCCCTCTTTGGCCTGAAGAAATTCCAAAGTCAATGTGGAGAACAACCCCGAGTGGGACTTCTGCATCATCAGTAGTGATCCCAGTCTCCCAAATAAATTTTATTAGAAGGCTGATTAACAACCAGCCTTGGCAAAATGCTGTGAGAATATCAAATGCAAAAAAAAAGTGGGACTCAAAATAATATATTCAATATGATCTCAGCTGTGTTACACAATGTTTTAGAAAAATTCTGGAAGCAAAAATGCCAAGATGTCACAATAATTGCCTCCGTATAGTAAGACTGGCTGATTTTTCTTCATGCCTTCTTTACACATTTCTATCATTTTAAATCTTCCTACAATGAGCAGGGGTTGGGGAAAGAAAAGGAAAAAGAAAATGGAAAATGCACTCCCAGCCGTGAGAGAGGGCATGGCAGTGTTTCCCACTGGTCTCTCCCACAGATGACGCCTGCAGAGGTGCGCGAGGCTGGGTGTCCATCTCACTCACCCAGCCTGAAAATGTCTATGTGAAGAAGCGTAAGCAAAACAGACACTTGTGCTAATCACTGTTCAGAGCTTGGCTGCTGAGTGTTTTCTGGGAGCTGCATTGTCAGTTGAGGGCTGCCCGCTGCGTGGGGTGGATTCCCCAGCCCTCACAGGATAATTTTATCACAGAGG
Source organism: Homo sapiens (assembly GCF_000001405.40). Lineage (NCBI taxonomy): Eukaryota > Metazoa > Chordata > Mammalia > Primates > Hominidae > Homo > Homo sapiens. The sequence continues at coordinate 30,823,695 of NC_000002.12, forward strand.
ACAACATTTGTAGTTCTGCATGAGTGGCTCTCCTGGCGAGATAAAGAAGAGACAGTGAGCTGAGGCTGAGGCTGAGAAGGCTGGCATATGTGATGTCTTCGGGGATCGGAAGCTGTAAGTAGCACAGAGGGACACACAGAGGCCTGTGGTGGTGGAGGAGGGGCTTGACGGGTCCTGGTAAGTCCTGTCTGTCTTCAAAACCTGCTCCCCCTCTGATGGCTTCCTGCCCCTTCAGTGCCTGTGAGCCTTGCCTTGGGACCTGTGGGGCACATGCCATGCCACTGGTTGCCATGTTTTTCAAACGTTTAACCCATTATTGAGAGAATCCTTAGTAGAAAGCCAAGCCTATGGGGAATGGACATCAAATGGATATGTTTTCATGACAGGGAAAATAAATGTTAAGACTAGGAGATTTTAGAGCTGGAAGACAGTCTTTTTTATTTTTTGGACAGAGTCTCACTCTGTTACCCAGGCTGGAGTGCAGTGGCATGATATTGGCTCACTGCAACCTCCACCTCCCAGGTTCAAGCAATTCTCTTGCCTCAGCCTCCCAAGTAGCTGGGACTACAGGAGTGCGCCACCACGCCTGGCTAATTTTTTGTATTTTTAGTAGAGATGGGGTTTCACCATGTTGGTCAGGTTGGTCTTGAACTCCTGACTTTGTGATCCGCCCGCCTCGGCCTCCCAAAGTGCTGGGATTACAGGCGTGAGCCACTGCGCCCAGCCTGGAAGACAGTCTTAAGATCACATTGTCCTAGCCCTTTGTTTTGTAGGGAGGAGTTGAGTTCTAGACAAGTTCATATGAAACCTTGATTTGACCCCTTTGAGTCCAGACCAAGATTCTGCTTGTGTTATGGGTTGAATTGCATTCCTTCCCCACCCCAAGAATTATGTTGGAGTCCTAACACCCAGTACCTCAGAATGTGACCTAATTTGGAGAGAGGGTCTTTACAGAGCTAATCAAAAATATAAGATGATCCAGAAAGGCCCTAAATCAACATGATTGGTGTCTTAGGAGATTTCTAATTTAGACACAAAGACAGGCATGTACACAGGGAGAACGTCATGTGAGGACCGAAGTTAATGCTGCCACAGGCCTCTTACTGAATGGAGGAGAGAGGCCTGAAACTGATCCTTCCCTGGCACCTTTGGAGGGAACGTGGCCCTGTCAACATCTTGATCTCAGACTTCCAGCCTCCAGAATTATGGGATAATTACTATTGTTTAAGCCACTCTGTGTATGGTACTTTGTTATGGCAGCCCTATGAAATTAGTACAGAAAACCTCATCAGAGGAAGGATTTACAACCTTGGCTGTATAGGAGAAAGCACATCTATGAATTCTAATAATCTGTGCCAACTCTGTACCTCATGATTATTAATAACTGAGAATGAACAACTCACAGTCAAACTAGATCAAACTTGAAGCACATTTGGAAACTCAGCTGATACCCAAGGACCTGAGAAACCAAACATTGTGATTCAGTACAAGCTGGGCAGAGCAGATCTCTTGGGAGGCTGCCCTGTTCCCTAGAATGTGGCTGCCTCTGGGCGAGGAGAGAAGAACTCAGGCCAAGGTAGAGACCTAAAAGTAGGATTGTGGCTGGGAGAGGTGGCTCACGCCTGTAATCCAGCACTTTGGGAGGCCGAGGCGGGTGGATCACAAGGTCAAGAGATAGAGACCATCCTGGCCAACATGGTGAAACCCCGACTTTACTAAAAATACAAAAATTAGCTGGGGGCAGTGGTGCATGCCTGTAGTCCCAGCTACTCGGGAGGCTGAGGCAGGAGAATCACTTGAACCCGGGAGGCGGAATTTACAGTAAGCCGAGATCGTACCACTCCACTCCAGTCTGGCGACAGAGCAAGACCCTGTCTCAAACAAAAAAAAAAAAAAAAAAAGAAAAGGAGGATTGCATTCTTTTTCTGTCCCTTCTTGAATCTCAAAGACAGGTGTCATTCAGAGGCCTAACAATGATTCCAGTGCCATTGACCAAGAAATCAAACTGAACCAGTTTGATTCAGTAACTGGGTATGTTAGCATGAGACATAGGAGAGGGGCTTATGGAAGGCAAGTGACAGATCAAATGCAAGAAATACAGTTACTTTCTTTTTTTCAACTGAAGTTTTTCTTAAATCCCTTCAGTCCAACACTTGAATTCTTTTTGTTAGTAAGAAGTGAGGTTTAGGGACACCTTGTCAGAGATGCTATCTGGCTAGAACCAATCTTGGAGACAAGGGGTTCAGACCACGTTTGCTTTCACTCCTTTCCTTCTTAAGCTTGCGCATTGCATCTGTAGTTCACAAAACAGTGAGGGGCTCCTGGATTAGAACTACCTTTTTCCCAGATCCCTTTGTCTCCAGGAAAGGGATCTGAAATTCCAATCTGTTGACACATTGCCAAACACAGTGATTTGGCTGGCAAAATGCCGTACCACAACTGTGGAAAAAAATTAGCTCTGATGATTGAAAAGCAACGTGGAGCTTGAGGGTTTATCTCCATGAAGGGGCATGTGTGGATATGATGGTGCAGAGCTCTCAGAGCTGACTTCTGAGCCCAGCTGAGGAGCCCTGGCATGTAAAATGGGAGATGGAATAGATTAGCCATATTTAAATGTGTTTCTTCTCTCTTTTTACATCAGTGGAATTGTGTCTTCAAATCTTAATTGGAAGCTCAAATAAATAAATAATAATAAATGTTTAAATGAGTTGCTTTGTTTAAAAAATGGGCAAAGGACTTGAGTAGACATTTTTTCCAAAAAAGGTATACAAATGGCCTATAAGCACATGAAAATGTGCCTAACATCTGTTACATCAAGTTTAGCTTAAAGCTGCCTCCTTACATATTTTAGGTTTGGCCTAAGGGTTTTTCTATACATCCTGAACTATAACAAGTGGAGGTGTAAACAGACTGTAGCCTGCACTTGTGCCAATCACTGAATTTTGGCCAAATGTAGCCAACTGTTCAAACAGTGTTGAAATAAGGCAAATGCTGAGCTGTAACCAATCCAGCTGTTTCTGTATCTCAGTTCTGTTTTCTGTACAGTTGCTTTCCTTTTTCTGTCCATAAATCCTCTTCCACCACATGGCTGTGCTGGCTCACTCAGAAGGCTGCCTGATTCACGAATCATTCATTGCTCAATTAAACTCCTTTAAATTTAATTCGGCTGAAGTTTTTCTTTTAATAGATGGTGTCAGAAGTGGGATCAGAAATAGAGCTTCTAATGACCCTCCAGGAGTGCTGAGTGACCAAAGTGAGGTACCTGCAGCACCCGTTAATCTCTCCGGGCAGCTAGGGATCAGGATCATGATAAATTATCTCAGATTTTGGAGCTTCACAAATTTGTGTTATGAGCTTTCTGAGTTTGAGCAAATTTCTGATCCAAACTGGGCTTGGAAGTTGCCACAGAAACTGGACTGGGTCCAGGATCGGATTTGACTGGATTGGATCCAGTTAGAGGCCTCTTACATCTGACTGGGTCAGAAAGAAACTGGTAGTAAATGGTAATATTGTAGGGGGTGTAAAATTTGGCTTTTGAAAATTTGCAGGGATTTGTGTGTTCTATCACTTTGTTTCATTTTTTCTTGGTAGAAAAAAAAAAAAAAAGCATTGGCTAAGTTAATCAAGGAGACCTGAGTGCAAAGCCAATATCTTAGGTAAAAATGGGATCCTTAATTTCTGAAGAACTGAGTTCCTCCTGGCTTACACATCCATAAGTGTTAGGCCCCAGAAGCAGTCAAGTCTTAGAGAAATGGTGAAATCTTACTAAAGATAACTTAGAGTGGAATGTTCCAAATGAACAAAACTGCACTGAAGTGCATTTAAAAATGAGGACTCCCAAATTAGTCTCATCCAGGGATGCCTATTGATATGCAGAAGCTTCTAGAAAGATTTTAATATTTTTATTTAAAAACTTTACGAAAGGCAAATAAAAAGCTTAAGTGGCAATTAGTTTAAAAAAAATTAAATCTGCTAACCTTTCAGCTTAGTTACAATCCCAATTCAAAGGAAATAGACCACAGCACCAATTGACTGGCTTTCGGTAAGTAATGGGTCAATTTTACTTGGGTAAAGAATGGGATTGTGTTAGAGGCCCTCCCCTCAGGAAAGTTCCTCTTGGTTAAAAATTGATTTGACACTATGGGATGTTTACTGCTATTCTCTTTGGATTAATCTGCATTGTACTCTTTGCTGATAGCTGTGGATGACAGGATTAGGCATGTACAGGACCATGGAACAGCAAGCTGAGCCACTAGGGCCCTCAGGGAGGAGAAACCCAGAAGCCTGACATGCCAGCAAAAGGGTAAGAATTTCTTACCAGTCAGACTCTGGCCTTTCTCTCTCTCTGTGCAAATTGGTTGAATGAACGGTAAAAAATCACTGTTTCTCTCCTCTGTAAAGTTTTGATTAATGCAGAAAAGGATTCTGAGGCTAGTCTTAAGTTGTAGCGAATCTGGTGTGCCTTGAGTGTCATTCTGTATGGTTCTGTCACAAAGAGGAGTACCTTAGGATAGAACACGGGCTTAGGACCCCCATAAGCTCACTATTCAAGATGGCCCAGCAAGCTGGTCAGTAACAAACTTTGCTGCAGATCCCTGAAACAAACAAAGAACTGGATGAGCTTTCATCTTGGTTTATGTCCTTGGGAGCTTGACCTGGTAACCACGTGGCAGTACTTTCTCTTGGTCTCTGCCATCTAGGGAACAGGAATTTGGGGGTTTATGTCATAGTTAGCTCTAAAAATTATCTTTAGTTAAAAGCAGTGTAAGCTCAAAATTGACTGCTCTAGACTCCTTCTGGAAAGAGCAATGAAAGCTGCCCAATGCTACTTAGCTCAGCAACTAAGGCTTTGCCATTTTACAATGGCAGCCCCGGGTTCAGTCCTGGGTTAGGAATGAGTGCTTTCTGGTTGATATCTGCGTGGCTTTTACCATTTGTTGATTCTCTTCCCCTCCATGAACAATTTCTAGCTTCCCTTAAATTTTCCTTTCTCTGAGCTACTTTTGAAGATTCTAAGTTTTATAAAAACTGCTTAATGCCTCTTTGAAAATACCTCATACACTGTGGTTAAGTCATAAGCATAGTTGAGGCTTGTTGGTTTCACTTGTGAGGTTACTTTTGGTAAAGTTTAAAAGCCAGAAATACTGGCCATTTGGCCTGGTTAAAGTAGGGTAATAAGAATTTTAAAAGGACATTTTTTTTAGAGAGCACCAAAGTCAGCTTAATTAAAAGTCAATATCCAAGCTATATGTATATTTAAAAGGCCTTTATGGTGTTTCTTCTCTTGGATCTTACTTTTCTGAAGAAGAAAGGTTTCTTATTTCTTCTCAGTTGACTTAATTATTTTTCTCCATTTTTGTCTTCTTGCCATTCTTAATGCACACATAAGACGACCTAAGATAACTTCTAATAGCCTGGGACTCCTTGAGAAAAACAGAAGAGTTGCCATAGACCCCATTTTGGTAAAAAACCTGTTTTCTTCATGGAACCCTAGGAATTGAAAGTGGATAGATTCCTCTCAAAATCTAAGGCTCTGTTCTGTTTCGCATTTGTTATTTGACAGTTTTGAGTTTTAGAGGTATCAGAAGTTACTTTGCATTATGAGAGAGGTTTGGTGTGTAATAATTAGGTAGGAAATATACTTTAGGGATGGCTAATGGCATTTATGGGGGAATATTCAGCTCTTTGTACCCTTGGATCAGGGAAGCATGCTCTTGGCCACCTAGAAGGATGGCGATATCCCCACCCCAAATTGAGAGATAAGACTCCCTTGGGGTAAGCAGTGGTTGTAAAATGGGCTAATTGGCTTTGGGTTGCCATGAAATGAAATGCACAGTAAAAGCATTGCAATGTCTTCTCCCATAGCATTTCCCTTTTTGGGGGGATCCAGGATGTGATATAAAAGTGGGATGCTTAATTTTGGAGATCTGTTTTTTACTTCCAGCTGTGTCTGCTTATTAGGCCCTAGAAACTGCATGCTTTCCTGGCCCTATTCCTTGAAGGGCTCCACCCTAAAGCCAGTAATCCAATTAAGACAAACTTAAAAACTGCCAAATGAAAAACCTTACAACTACTGGATCTTCTTCTGTGTATAGTTATATACGTGTTTTTTGTGTGATGTTTATATAAAAGAGCTCTAATTAATTGGCTTAAAGAAAAACAAGCACTTAAATCACTAAAAACATTTAGTCTAAATTAGGCAGGTCAGATATTAGGTTTGCTAAATGCTTTAAGGTCATAAACTACTTCTTTGACTTTTGAAGATTGTTCAACTCTCCTGTCTTACAGCTAGGTAAGGCCTGAGGACATTGGGATTTAGCCATGCCCCTAGCTATTCCAGAAAGAGACAGACCTTATCTGTACTTCTGTCTGGTGTCCTAGGCTCCAAGCCTAGTGCATAATTAAAATCACTTACTTAGCAGGTTTTTCACCAAAAATAAAAATTGCTAAGATTTAACATTGTAACAGGTAATTAAAACTGCTGAAAAAACATGCAAGTTATGTAAGGAAAATAAAATGTGTTTTTAGTAAAAGATTATAAGAAGGCATGGGAATGTAAATTTTTGCCTAGTTTAGAGGGTTAAAGGATTGTTTTAAATTAGGATAAAGCTAAAGGTTTGAACAAGTTGTGAAAGATTTCTGAAAAATTAATTGTAAAAGATTCTGTGTATGAATACATTGGCTAAATTTAAAGGAGTACTATGCAGTTTTTTCTGTAAATTGAACATTGGAATGAAAGCACACCAGGGTTTTCTTAGAGCATTTATCTGCTCTTTAACAAAAATTTTTCAAGGGTTGTAGAAGGTTTATGAAAATCTCACCGTATGGTCAAACTGATTAAGATTGATAAATTTGTCTATAAGCTTTTATTAAAGATTGGGGTTAACATTAATGGTACACTAATGGCGGGGCACAGTGGCTCATGCCTGTAATCCCAGCACTTTGGGAGGCTGAGGCAGGCAGATCACCTGAGGTCAGTAGTTCAAGACTAGCCTGGCCAACATGGAGAAACCCCATCTCTACTAAATACAAAAATTAGCCGAGTGTTGTGGTGCATGCCTATAGTCCCACCTACTCAGGAGGCTGATGAGGCAGGAGAACTGCTTGAGCCCAGGAGGCAGAGGTTGCAGTGAGCTGAGATCACACCACTGCACTCAAGCCTGTGCAACGGAGTGAGACTCCGCCTAAAAAAAGAAAAAGTACACTAATGCAAGGGTAGAATTTGGCTTTCTCTTCTCTCTTAAACAAGAGTTTCATGTAGTATTAAAGGATAATGAAATATTTTTGTTTGCCTTTTGAATACCAAAAAAAGAAGGGGAAGACAAAAGATAGATTGTTTGGAAAACTGTCTTCTATCAATGAGTAAATGTTTTTGCCTTTTTAAAATTTTTGAGACATCATTTTGGCTAAGTGAATGACTTACAGTAACCTGGATTTTTATTTCATAATATCAAGTGTTTTAAACCTTTAACATATTTGATAGGCTTCCTGAAATCAAATTTCAGCTTTAAAATTATCTTTTCTGACCTCTAACTTTGAGATGCTATAGAGGGTCCCTGAAGCATTCAAAAGAGAGGGAAACAGGATTATTTGACATGTTAAGTTACATGGGAAGCTTTGTCAAAATAAAAATTAATGTTTAACCCCCTTCAGTTTATATTTTAGTGAATATTAGTATATGTTCCAAAATTATATGGGATTTCTAAAATTTTAATATGTCCAAGTATATACTATCAATCATAATTATGGTTATTAAGTTATTGTAAACCACAGAAATAACCAAATTTCTTTGTCAATTGTGTCTTTAACTGTGACTACTTAAAGTCAATTCACAGTTAATTCCTTAATGCTGATGCAGTTTCTGAAAACTTCACCAGCATGCAAAATCCTGGAATATGGTGTCTTTTAGGAGGTTCATGAAAGGATGGAAAGGACCCTGAAAAGTACAAGTTTCTGATAACTTTAAAATCATATCATTTGGACTGGGTAAGAATTCCTAGAACTTTAATGAGAAGACTGACTGGTTTATAAAACGGCTAACCCAAGTAGAACAAAAATTAATTGAATACCAAGAAAATACTTTGCCAGATTTTTATGCTAAATCAGCTGATACTGAAATTGTTCAGATATACAATTTAAATGAACTCCATGATCTAAGTTAAATTACCTATGATAAACCATCAGTCATCAGTGCTATGCACCTAAACTGGAGAAATATCTGGTATTCAGGAACACAAAAGTCCAATGTTAATTAAGCACGGCCTCATGGAGAACCAGGACAGCTGCCTTGTTCTTCCTGAGTTCTTAGAGCTTTTGTTTTTAAAGGTCTACATTCTCTGACTCATCATGGAAAATAAAATAATTTAAATTAAATATATATTGGTGCGGTGACTTCTAAATTGAATAGTTTATGACTGATGTTTAGTTTATTGACCCATATTCCTGGGAAGACAATCAAAGCTTCAGGTATATTTTGCTATCTGATGGGCCATTTAAACATTTCATTCATTTATTCATTGAATTTCATTCAATTATCATTTTCAATGCTTGTTTTCTGGTTGTATAAAAGTTGTTTTCCCATGCAAGAGGGCTGATGTTATAACAGTAGATTATTATTCCACATTATAATTTCACCAGGTAAAGAAAGCTTTTATGGTTCCCTGACTGAGGATAATCAACCCCTTCATAATTTAGAATCCAAAGATTGGATCTTCTGAGAACATCAGAGAAAGACTGCCCTTGCCATCCACACTGCAACAAAACTTCAGAACCTTGAACCTTGGGTTCATAATCTCACAACAAAGAAGGGTCCCTCCATGTTCTTGGAGCTGTACACCCATTGGAACTCTTAAGGTAAAGCTAACCAGGGAAGTTTCTCCCCAGAAGATGGGATCCTTAATGTGAACAGCTTTTCCCAATATCACAGATCAAGATTTCTCTACTATCATGAGACTTTTATCTTTGAATATTTTCCCTTCCTTATGCCTCTATAAACACTAGGAGTGAAAAGGGGGTCTGTTGTGTACACTTATAGGGTATGATTTTATTTGTGAAGGATTTTGCAGCCAGCGTTATACATGGATAACTTTATACCTTGATGGATGACAGATGAGGGACCAATGTAGGTGAGAAACTTTAATGGTACATACATTGCCTCCTAATCAGTCAGAAATAAAACATTAGTTCACTCCTCTTAATCCACATCATAAGTTAAAGAGAATATTGCCAGGAGGCCTTCATTCTTCTAGAAGGGCATCATTTGTTAGGTCCTTTTTCCATGGTTTGGAGTAAAAGAAGCAATGATTTAAAATGTATCCCTCATGATAAACTCTATAGCAGATTCTACTGTAAAGGCTATAGTTATACAACAGAATTTAAATTATCTTGTGAAAGTTATGCTAACTAATCAAATTGCTCTAGATTATTTACTGGCTAAACAGAAGTATCTGTGCAGCTGCTGGCACTTGTGGCCTGTGGAGAAATACATCACATCAGGTATTATAGAGATTCAGTTGTAGGGGACTAGCCAAGAGGCTGCTTAGTTAAGTAGGTAGACTCTTTATCTAGCTCATTCTTTGATCTATTTGATTTTATATGGTTTGGTTTATGGGGACCCTGGGTAAGGCGAATACTGTAAACTCTTGGTATTATCCTCCCAATAGTCATAATAGTAGTCTCCCTGGTGTGCTATATTCTCTCAAAGGTTTTAAATGTTTGCGTGCAGCCATCTCTAAAGGGTCAAATGGTCTGTCTTCAACTGGCATGACAAGATCTGAAAGAAAAGTGTGATCATGAGGACACCACAACCTATGAATGACATGCTGAGACTGGAAACTCAAAATGATGGTAACTGAGAGTGCTGCTAAGGTCCTAAATTTTGGTTACACTCTCACCTAAGAGAACCTGAACAAAAAAGGAATTTTTTTAAACAAAATTATGAGAGGCCATTGTTTTGGACTGAGCTTATGCACTAGGCCCCAACAGACCAAACCAAACCAAAACAGAGTCACTAGTGCTAAATGTGACATAATCAAACTAAGACTTTAAGGAAACACATAGGTCCTAGAATAGACCAGGTTTTGTTTTTCTCCTGTAAACAGGACGTTCCAGCATAAGGAGATACCCTCTCTTCAGTCAGTCCTTGTCCCCACTTTGCAAAACCCACTGTTCTACTGTTTCCCAATGAGTTTCAAGACCAAATAAGTATGTTTACGACGATGATAGTGACATTAATGACTAATTTTTTGGCCAATCTCTCAAAATTGAGATGACCATCAAACAAGGGGAATTGTTAAATCAAGTTCAGCCTAAAGCTGCCTCCTTACCTATTTTAAGTTTGGCCTAAAGGTTTTTCTGTACATCCTTAATTATAACAAGTGGAGGTATAAACAGACCATAGCTTACACTTAAGCCAGTCACCGAATTTTGACCAATCAAATGTAGCCAACTGCTTGAACCATGTTCAAATAAGGCAAATGCTGAGCTGTAACTGGTCCAGCTGTTTTCGTTTTCTGTACCTCACTTCTGTTTTCTGTATGTCACTTTCCTTTGAATCTTCTTCCACCACATGGCTGTGCTGGAGTCTCTGAGCCTACCCTGGCTCAGAAGGCTGCCTGACTCACAAATGGTTCATTGCTTAATAAACTCCTTTAAATGTAATTTGGCTGAAGTTTTTCTTTTTATCACTTCATAAGCCACTAGAGAAATGCAAATCAAAACAGCTAGATCCTACTTTACACCCATTAATATGAGTATTCCCCAAAACAAAACAAAAATAAAAACAACCAAAAACCAGAAAACAACAGGCATTAGTGAGGATTTGGAGAAATGAAAACATTTATGCACTGTCAGTAGGCATATAAGATGGTAGAGACACAGTGGATAACACTATGGCAGCCACCCCCCAAAAATGGAAATATAAATACCATATGATCTAGCAATTTTACTTCTGGGTATACCCAAAAGAATTGAAAGGAAAGACTCAATCAAATATTTGTACAACCCATGTTTACAGCAGCATTATTAACCATACCCAAAGGATGAAAGCAACGCTAGTGTCCATGGATGGGTAAATGGATAAATACAATGAGGCAGACATATACAATGGAATATTATTCAGCCCTAAAAAGGAAGGAAATTCTGACATATGCTCCAACATGGATAAACCTTGAAGACATAATGTTAAATAAAGTCAACCTTTCATAAAAGGACAAATACTGTATGATTCCACTTATAGGAGGTACCTGGAGTAGTCAATTTTATGTTACATACGTGTTACCACAATTTTTTAAAAAAGAGCTGCTCTCTTTGAATTTTTAAATCTGTATTTTTAGGTGTTTGATTTTTTAAATAAGATTTTCCCCCATTTCTCACCTACCCTAGACATATGGCCCTAAAGCACCTCAGAAGAAGCTGAAGGAAATCAGCCTCCATAGCTTTCAAGCCCCTGGACTCCTGGAGCCAGAAGTTAATTCACACTCTGATCTCAGAGAAGTTCAAGACCTTCAGCAGAACTTTTCCTGGCCAGGGCATTTTTGCCCCTGAGATATGTCATTAAACACTGTAACCAGGAACTTCTGTTCTTACCCCTGTCCTTCCCTTCACCTTTTATAGTTACTAAATGCAATGTTTTATTTTTCCAAGTACAAAACAATAAAATAGTTATAAAGAAATAAAGAATTCTTAAGAAAATCTCTACATAAAATGAATTTAAAGTCTATCATAAGACTCACCTTAGAATGAAAATAGCTTAATCTTTAAAGTAGGTACACCCTATTCCTGAGAAATACTTATCTGATTAGTAGAGATACATTTCTTTTTGAGTCTACTCACCCCATATAGACAAATGCTCCCATGTCAGATTACCAGGTTAATTGCAGCAGGACCTGTAAATAGTTTGATCTTGACCCTTCCGGGACTTGTATGATTTAAAGCTATGGTTTTTCCTGGTTGTTCCTGAGATAAAATTGGCTACGGACTGTGGGAAAGAGGGGATTTCTCTTGATTTCAAAATTGTATGTGAGAAAGAAACCTCTCCAAGTTTTCATATTATAGATTTTTTTTTAAACAAAAGGTGTGTATCTAAACTTGATGATACAAAGACCTGTGATCTATTCATGTAAATCCTTTGAAGGGGAATTATTTTGTTTTATTTTGTTTGAAGAGATTTTTGTAAGATTTTTCTAGACTGAATTTGGAAGCAGCTGAGAATCTGGCCCATTATGTTTTGATAGAGATATAATATTCAGATTTCCAAATGGGCAATGTTCCATTTCTGAAACTTCTTTTAAAATGTGTTTTTGAATCTAGTTGAGTCCTATGAAGAATCACATGCAGATAACATACTACAGCACTGGTTAACATTCGGGGCTGTCCTTTTCTCAATGTTAGACACTCTTCTTTGGTGATGATGCCAGGTGCTTAGGGAGTTGCCCACATATATAATTCCTTAAATGGAAATTCTATCAATGATAACTTGTTTTGGAGAACATTAATTTGAAGGGAGCTTGCATTCCAGGGATGTAGACTCAGCACTATTCATAAAATTCTTCCTGAAATTAGTTTCTCTCTGTTTTTAATGTGTCTTTCTCTGTACATATATTTAAATGCTAACTGGATTGAAAGGTATTTAGGTAAATGGGGTAAAATGAAATCAAGGAAAGCTTCTAAGAGGAGGGAAGACACATAGACAGTGATTTCAGGAGCAGAGAGACACAGTTCAGCGGTGAAGAAAGGGGAAGGTAGGGCTTTTTAGAAAGTATGAGCCTGGCTGGGCGCAGTGGCTCACTCCTGTAATCCCAGCACTTTGGGAGGCCGAGGGGGTGGATCATGAGGTCAGGAGTTCAAGACCAGCCTGGCCAAGATGGTGAACTCCCGCCTCTACTAAAAATACAAAAAAATTAGCCGGGCATGGTGGCGGGTGCCTATAATCCCAGCTAGTTGGGAGGCTGAGGCAGAGAATTGGTTGAACCCGGGAGGCAGAGGTTGCAGTGAGCTGAGATCGCACCACTGCACTCCAGCCTGGATGACAGAGTGAGATTCTGTCTCAAAAAAAAGAAAAAGAAAAAAAAGAAAGTGTGAAGCCCGTGGATCATGGGTAGTAAATCCATTCCCCTGTGTCAAACAGACCCTGAATCAAACAACATCTGAATGTAGGTAAATTATGATACATGCCCTTGGGGTAATAGTATGAAGCCATTACAATTAATTTCATTAAGACTGGAGTATAGCAGTTGTTCAAGCAATTTAATAACTAGGCAAATGTAGTTTTATAACAATTATGCAAGAAGAAAAAAGAACCTAGGACTTGCAAAACAAAACCTATATTTTCTTCCTTAATCATAGGATAATAGGGTTTTTTTTCATCCTTATTGATTTTTACATTTTTATTACCTATTTCTTCAAGATAAAAATAACTGTTTTACTTGTTTTCAAATTAAAGAGGTGGGGGATAGAGGTGCAGGGCAGGGGCTTTGAGTTTGAGAGAACCCACTGTTTTAAAAAATTTAGATATTTGATTAATTTTCTATTCTTAGAGTTGTCACACAACTTTTATAAAAAGGCAAGATAATTTTGTAGAAGAATAAATTTTAATAAACACTTGATCTAAATTAGCTGTATCCTAAAAATTATAGTAAATTTATATTGGAACACATAGGCAGTACTATTAAATAATTTTTTGAAAAATGAAAATAAATTCAGATAAATTCATAAATGTAAAGATGTGGAGGAAAAAGTTTGGATGGAAATATTTCAAAATTCAGGTTACCTCTGAACAGCAGTGTTATCAGCAACTTATTTTCATCTATGGACATTTCTATATTTTCCAAGTTGTTCATAAAGCATGTATATTACTCTTAAAATTAGTGAAAAGACCTTTTAGCAAATTTTTTTTGTTACTATGAAAAACAGTGTGTTGATTCCTCAAAAAATTAAATACAGAATTAACATATGACCCAACAATTTCACTTCTGCCTATATAAACCCAAAATATATAAAAGCAGGGACTCAAAGAGATATCTGTGCACGCATATTCATAGCAGCATTGCTCCCAATAGCCAATGGTGAAAGCACACAAGTGTTTGTCTATGAAGGTACAAACAAATGATGTGTAGTATATATACACAGTGGAATATTGTTCAGCCCTAAAAAGAAAGGAAAGTCTGACATCTGTTCCAATAGCAATGAACCTTGGAGACATAATGCTAAGTGAAATAAACCAGTCACAAAAAGGCAAATACTCTATGATTTCACTTATATGAGATATTTAGAGTAGCCAAAATCGTAGAGACAAAAAGTAGAATGGTAGTTGCCCAGGAGCCAGAGAGAGGAGATATTGGGGAGTTAACATTTAATGGGTATAGAGTTTCACTTTTGCAAAATGAATAGAGCCCTGGAGATGAACAGTGATGATGGCTGCACAATACTGTGAGTGTATTTAATATCACTGAACTGTACACTTAATAATGGTTAACATGGTAAACTTCATGTTATGTATATCTTACCACAATTAAAATATTTTAATTCAATTTGAATTCAAATTCAGATAACACTAGGAACCCAGATAAAATGATAAAGTTGGTGATGAAGTTGGAAAATGATGTGCCAAATCACAAAGAGCCTTGAGCTCCCAGCTGATCTGTGATGTCAGAGCCGTGGGGAGGAGGATGTGGAGAGGTGGGCTGGGGAGGACCAGTCTGGCCACTATGCTCAGGATGAGTTGGGCAGGATTAGCAGGTGAGAGGGAGGGAGCCAAAAGTTATCCCAAGAATTATGTCCTGGATGCTCTGCCTATGTCTCCATGTTTATGAATAGGGAGACACAGACTAAGAGAAGTGGTTTACCCCATGTCCTAGCACTAGCAGGTGCCAGAGGCCTGTCCTGAGCTCAGATGGATATGACCCCATATCCCTGCTCTTTCCTTCATACTATCCTACCTCCATATATTATAAATGGAAAAAAAGGGGGAAAGTGGTAGGAGGGGAGAAGATGATGGAGAGAATGGAAAGAAAGAAAACAAGAATAAGGAGAGGGAGAGCCAGCAGACAGGATAAGATTCAAAGCTGCAAATAAAAACAAACTTTTAAATAAGGCCCTAAGTCTGCATTGAACTTTTGACAATTATGGTTTGTCAGTATGGTAACTGATTCATAATTATTTTATGGGAGTTTAGCAACTCTATATGTAACTGGTGCAGAGCAGTTGTAGAGTTGTTAATCCTGAATGTTTATTACCCACCATTTCATAAATAGCTTAATAAATCTAAACAAGTCGAATTTATGGGGATGGTTATGGCATTCTATTCAAATTTCAAGCAATTACAATAAAAACACATCTATTGAGGGAAGAGCAGTTTTGTTGTTTTTTTTAAGTTTGATACTGGAGGATGGCTGACACTTGACATCTCCTTGAGCTGGTCTTTGCTCCGTGTCTGGGCCCAGGGGGTAGGGGCAGGACAGCAATCAGAGGCTGTCTTTGAGTTGTTGTCTGCCAAGGAGATGGAGTGAGATACAGGTTGTCATTTGCCAACATGTTTAAGGATCTAAGTTCCTGGTGGTCATGACATTTCAAGGCTCGCCTTGGACCCTGCTGTAGTAGAGTATTCCACCCCCCAGGTTGGGTAGGTGTTGGGCATTTTCTAGAAAGTGAATGATTTGGGAAGGGCCAGGAGCAATGATTTCTCTCCTCATAGCTCCTTTCAAGGTCATTGACTTCTTGGTCACTGCTAGGAGTTCAATGCAGCCTACAATACAGGGTTGTAGGTAGAATCAGAAAGAAGAGAACCCCCGACCCCCGCAACTGCCCAACAAACTAAATGGTATTACTTACCTCTTGATCCATGCATTTTCTCTTACTACTGATACTTTGCCTTTCTTTCATTGTTGCCTATTAGGGAGGCAATTGGTTGAGGGTGATGCAACAAGGTGGGTGGGTGGGAGAGGGAGAGACAGAGAGAGAGAGAGAGAGAGAAAGAAAAGTAAAAAAGGCAAGGGATGAAAAGAGTCGCCGACCTGGCCCCAGCCCGGGCTCTTATTCTTACTGTGTGCCTTGAACAAGTCACTTCTACTGCTGCATCTCAGTGTCCCCTTTCAGTGCTGACATTCTGTGGTTCTGTGATTCAGTGAAAAGGAACAGCAGGTGAATTAGAGATAGCCGAAAGAGGTGCTCCACAGAGGAGGAGCCCTGTCCAAATTGGAGACAAGACTTTACATTACCAAAGATACAAGTCTGACTCTACCTTCTTCCAGCTCAAATGTTGGTTGAGAAGCGACCTCTTCACTGTGAAGTGCAATATTCGAAACTACACATGCGTAAGACTCATTCTCTCCCTCCCTAAGAGTTTGAATCTAGCAAAGTAGGAGATGCTTACTCAGGTAATTACAGCACAAGGAGGTAAATGCAAATAGACATTTTGAAGGAAATGGTTTAGGTGTACAGAGAAGGAAATTTACTTGTTTGAATTGGAGAAGGATGTGTTTAGGTCATCCATCATGGAGAAACTGATATTTAGCCTAGGTCTTCAAGGATGAGTGAATAGACATCCCCCAATAGAAAAGAAAATAGGAGAAGAGCACCACACGTAAATGGAACAGCAAAGGCAAAGAAGAATGGGAGAACATTTATTTACTTGCTATTTGCCAGGTATGTTTGTGATCACTATGGATACAATAGTAAATAAGACAGTCTCTGATCTCATGGAGTTTACAGTCAAGTGGGTGGCAACAGGTATTAAACAAGTATTCAAATACATGAATACAGTGGTCTTAGAAAATGGAGATGTCTGTGTGCCTGAAGTGTAAGGTATGTGGTGGGGAGAAACTGGACATAAACTTAAAAAATATACAAAAGGTTGTGGAGTGTCTTGAGTGTAGTGTATTTTATCCCTTGGGTAGTAGGACACTAACAAAGATGTTGTTAGTGGTGAAACATTAGCTGACTTATGTTTTAGAACTAAAACAAAAACAAAAACTGAGTAAGGAATACATTAGATGGAAAGAGACTGGATGCAGAGAAAGCAATTAGAATGTTATTACTACAATGTAAGAGAAAGATGATGAGATTGGATATAGGACTCTATCCATGGGAATGAAGACAAGGGAGAGATATGAAAAGCATTTTCAGAGGCACGAACAAAATTTGATGACATGAGCAGTGAGCAAGAGAGAGGCAAAGACGATACCATTTACAGATCAAGTGACTTGGGAAATATTTCCACCATTCCTGAAGATAAGAAATACAAAAGGAAGAGGCGCTTAAAGGAAGAGCATGCAATTGAATTTGAGGAGGCTATGGGACATCTAGTAAGTTGACAGAAATGTTATCTTGGAATTTAAGATAAGTCCAGGCTGGAGTTATTGACTGATTTGAGAATCTTCAATTTAGAAGTAGACACAGAAGCCATGGGGATGCATAAGAACACTTGGAATGGAGAAGACGACTATGCCTCCCCAGTGCAAGTCATGCAGAAGGGGATAAGTGAAGAAATTTAGAATGAGTACTCAGGGAGAATGATGTCCTAGAATCAATGAAGGAAGTAAAAAGATAAAGGGGCTTCGTATGAGAAATGATACCTGAAGGCCAACTAAAACCAGGGGGAAAACAAAGAACCATTTAATGATTCATCACTCAGAAGGGTGTTAGAGACTTTAGGTCAAGTAATTTTATTGATTTGCTAGAAGCAGAAGGCATTAAATAAAAGGTTATGATGGGCCAAAAGTCCAGAAAGTAGAGAAAGCAAGCATAGAAAGGACTCCGAGAGAATATTCCAGCAAAGAAGGACTTGGGATAATTGAATATTACAGTCATGACATTCATTCACTCATTCAATAAATATTGCTTGACTAATACATTCTAAACACTGAGCTAGGAGTCATTATAGAGACAGTAAGGTATAATTTCTGCCTCCAAGGTGCTCAGAGTCTTGTAAGAGAGGCAGATGCAAGCTGCAATGAAAGCAATAGTGAAGCTATATAAAGATACAGGTATATGTAGCTCAGAGAAAGAAAAATTTGTTCTATCTGGTGGAGAAGTCAAGAAACTTCCTACATAGGTGCCATAAAGCTATGTCTTAAAAGATAAAAAAGAGTTTACCAGGTGCAAGAAGATGAAATTTATTGCAACAAGTGGGAATGGTACATGCAATTAAATGAAGACAAGAAAAGAATGTATTTTGGCAACCTCAAATAATTTGGCACTGTTGGATCATGAAGTGAGATGAGGAGTGTCAACTAATGTAGCTAAAAGGTAGACAGGAACTAGAACATAAATTGCTGCAGGTGCCATACTTTAGGCTAAGAACTTGTCTCTACCTTGTAGGTAGAGAGAAAAGGTATAAGAAAGAAAAACTTGGGGTTTTGAAAGATCTTTGATTTCAGCTTTACTCTTTATTGATTCATTTTTCCTGATTGGTTTATTTCACTGTTATTTTCCTAGTTTAAAATCGGCACTTGGTCCCTTAATTTTTCATTGTCTTTCTTTAATAATTAAGTACTGCTTTTATAGCATCTTATATTATTTTTGCATGAAGTGTTATATTTTTCATTGGTATGTAGGTAATAAGTAGCTTATTTTTAATTTTCCTCTTTGAAATCAGTTTTAAAAAAGAAAGCAAAGATAGAATAAATAAATAAATTGATTCTTTGAGAAAACCAATAAAACAGACATACCTCTTACAAGCCTAATTAAGTGGGAAAAAGATCATAAAAGTAGACAAGATTAAAACAAAAAAGGAGACACAAGTTCCAGAGTTACATGCTTGAACTGTATAGTGACAAAACTTAAAACCTATATAAAATAAATTAATTCCAAATATAACACACTCTACTAAAACTGATTAAGAAGAAATGGAAATCTTGACTCAATCAATTATTAGAGAAGAAATAGAAAAACTGATTAGTGATCTATTATTGTAAAAGTCACCAGTCGTCAAAGCTGAGCTCTTAT
Source organism: Homo sapiens (assembly GCF_000001405.40). NCBI lineage: Eukaryota > Metazoa > Chordata > Mammalia > Primates > Hominidae > Homo > Homo sapiens. The sequence continues at coordinate 30,842,637 of NC_000002.12, forward strand.
ATAACTTAAGCACAGGTAATTCCAACGCAATTAAACTAATCCAGATGATATAAAGAAACAAAACCTGCCGTATAACTCCAATAACAAAACCTGATATAGACAACAATGCAGGAAAACTATATATTAAGATGGCTTATTAATATAGATGCAAAGTTCTAAATGAAATATTAGCAAATAGAATCTGTCAATGATCTAAAGAATAGTATATACAGGCGATGAACAATCTGAAAATGAGACTAAGAAAATAATTACATTTATAATATCATCAAAGAGAATAAAATACTTAGGAATAATTTTAACAAAAGTAGTGTAAGACTTGCACTGAAAAAACTACAAAATATCCTTGAAAGAAATTAAAGATCTATAAAATGAAAAGACATACCATGTTCACGTATTAGAAGACTTCATCTTGTTAAGATGGCAATACTACTCAAGTTGATCTACAGGTTAGGTGAGATCTCAGTTGCTCTTTGTGTGCAAATTTGTAAGCTTGTACTAAAATTAATATGGAAATGCAAATTACCCAGAATAGCCAAAACAATCTTAAAAAAGAATGCGATTGGAGGACTTACATTTCACAATTTCAAAATTAACTACAAAACTATAGTGATCAAGACTCTATGTTACTAGCATAAGCATAGACATAAAGATCAGATACATGTTTATCAGAAATAAACATGTATGTTTTTGGTCAATTGATTTTCAACAAGGGTGTCAGTACAATAAAGTGTGGAAAGAATAGTCTTTTCAACAAATGATCCTGAGATAGAAAATGATCCTGGCTATCCACATATGAAAGAATTAAGTTGTAATTCCACATAACACTATTTACATAAAAATTAACTCCCAATGGATCAAAGACCTAAAGAGCTGAAACCATGAATGTCTTATATCTATATTTTTTTCTAAGTCTTCATAATGCTGCATTAAGCCGTAGTTTTTTTTAGCTATGACACCAAAAGCACAATCAATCAAAGAAAAAGTAGATATATTAGACTTCATTGAATTATAAACTTTAGTGCTGCAAAGGACAGTATCAAGAAAGTGAATAGATAGCACACAGAATGAGAGAGAATATTTGCAACTATACAAATGATGAGTCTAGTGTCTATAACATATAAATAACCATTACAACTAAACAATTAAAAGACAACCCAATTTAAAAATGGGCAAAATATTTGAACAGACATTTCTTCAGATAAGATATACACTGGATAATATTATTTCAACACCAGTGTAGGAAAATTAATAGACAAATCAAAATCACAATGAGATAGTGCTTCATGCCCACTAATGCAGCTACACTAAAAAAGATAGACAATGACAAGCATGGAAAAATTTGAATCCTCATACATTGCTGATGAAAATACAAAATGGTACAATTTATTTGGAAAACAAGTAGTTTGGCAGTTTCTCAAAGGTTAAACACTGACTTACTGTATGACCAGTAATTCCAACCCTTGGTGTATACCCAAGAGAACTGAAAATATATGTTTGTACAAAAACTTGTATACAAATGTCCATAGCAGCACTATTCCTAATGGGCCAAAGATGGAAGCATTTAACTGTCTATCAGTTGATGAATAGATAAACTATGATATAGCCATACAATGAACTATTATTCAGCCATAAATAGAAATGAAGTTTTGATACATGGATGAATTGTGGAAACATTATGCTAAGTGAATGAAACAGACACAAAAAGCCACATATTGTAAATGTCAAGAATAGGCAAATTCGTACAGACAGCATATTTGCGGTCGTCAGTGCCTGGAGGAACAGGGAAATGGAAGTGACCGCTAATAGGTACAGGGTTCCTTTAGGGTGATAAATATATTCTGGAATTAGATTGTGGTGATGGTTGTACAACCTTGTGAATATACTAAAAACCAATGAATTCGTACACTTATAAAGCTAAATTTTATGGCATGTGAATTGTGTCTCAATAAAAATTTAGTTAATGTATTTTTGCAAAAAGGATATAACAAAGATAATAAACAATAGTTTTATTAAAATGTTTATTCTGATTGTACCTAAAGAGTTAATTCTCTACTATGGAAATAAATTATAAATTAACAAAACAACTAAATCACAATACATAGAACAAATTATATCAAAATGCAGTTCATAAAAGGGCATATGCAAATGGCATCAAATATGCTCAACTCACTGACAGTCATAGAAATCCAAATTAAAATAACAATGAAACATCTTTTTGCACCCACCAGACTGACAAAAATAAAAAAAGAACTATCATATCTATTGCTGGCAGGGATGTGGGGGAATAAAGAGTACTCTCTTACACTGCCGGTTGCAATAGTCATTTACTTAGCTATTTTGAAAGCTAGCCAATGACATCTATTATTAATAATATTCAAAGTAATATATCCTTCGATCTAGCAAACCTACTTCTGTGAATTTATCTTATATAAATAAAAATAGCAGTTTCTAAAGATAGAAAAAAAACATATATATATATATTGTTGCTGAACTGGTTATTGATGTTTATAGATGCCCCAAACTGAATACATTGCGGCATATATACACTGCAGAATATTATGTAACCATAAAAAAGTATGAATTGAAGAATTCCCAGAAGACTTAGAGAGAACTTCATAGATTTTATTGGGTGAGAAAAGAGAGCTACAGAAAACTATGTATAATCCAATTCCTTTTAAATAAAATAATTAAAAGCAATATATGTATATGTGCATATATATGTATGTGTAAATGTATATATGATTACACTTTTTAATATATCTATAAAAACAGAGGGGGAAAAAGATAACTTTGGTGGTAGATGCTTAAGGGAAGCAATAATAGATAGTACAGAGATCAGTGGGGAGACTCCTGTAACATTCCAGGAAAGATATGATGAAGACCTTGGCTACATCAATGTGGGAGGCCAGGAGACAGAGTATCTCCTGAAAATCTTACTGGGACCCCTCTCTGGGGCTTTCTTTTGGTTGTCAGAGTACTCACATGGCTTTCCTCCTGCACAGTAGGTGATAGGCCTGCTAGTCTCCTGCTCCACTGCCAACCTCACTTTTCAATTTTGGATTCTGTTTTTCTCACAAGGACAATGCAGAATAAAAGCACCTGCACAGCTTCTTTCTACCCCAAACCCTGACCAAGTTGACATCCTAAGCATGCTTTCACATTCTTCTGACATTCTCCATCAATTTGGACTATGGAACCCCACAGAAACAGACAGGATCCATAAGACAACCATAATGAGATCTTCATGGCTTTTTCCTAGTATTTATCTTTGGTCTTTAGGGACAACAATGAGACCCAGCTGTGACCTTCCTTCACCACTATCCTGTCCTCTCATGTTTTCTGTCTTCATCTTCCTTCTGGGAGTCAGCTCCACTACTTACATTCACTGTCTAGGGCTTCTGAGTTCTCCCAGAACTTCATATACTCCTCCATTCCAACCCAACTCTCTTTTCTTCAGACCTAGACCAGAGAGTCTCATATAGGGCATGGGTTAGAATTCTACGGTGAAAGCTTTTCAGATTACACATGGCTGCCACTCTCCTCCATGTGTCATAGATTATGGGAAAATAAACTCTTTTTAATGATAATATTAGGATGGTACTATATACTATCTCCATTTTACAGATTAGGAAACTAAGGACCAATGACACTGAATGACATTCCTAGGATCTTCTGACTGTAGAACCTATACTATTTCTACTGTACTCCCAGCTTTTCAGTAGAACTCTCCAAAGACTCTAAGGAGGTGCCTTTACTTCTCATAAGGACCTCTGGGAGTCTAATGCCCAATAGCTTGTTTTAGTGTTCCCTTATTCGGCAAGCAATCATTGAACTTCAAATATGTGTCAGGCTCTATAGGAGGCACTTGGAGTGGGGGATGAGGAGGTTGGTGGCAAGATGTGGAAATACACAGGTAAACAAAACAGGACATTTGCCTTTGATGAGCTCACAGCAAGTGAAGGAACTAGATCAATAAAAAGAGGCACTTACAATCAATGTAATGGGTACCTTTACAGGCTGGAGGAATTTGGATTTTTTTTTTTAACAGGGTCTCACTCTGTCACTCAGGCTGGAGTACAGTGATACAATCATAGCTCACTGCAGCCTCTAACTCAGGGGCTCAAGCAATCCTCCCATTCCAGCCTTCTGAGTAGTTGGGACTATGGGCATGTGCCACCATGCCTGGCTAGAATTTGTAATTTATCTTACCTAGAGTACCTAAGGCTTCCGGGGAGTAGGTATTTAGGACTCATGATATGGTTTGGATATGTGTTGTCACCCAAAGTTCATGTTCAATTGTAATTCCCAGTGTTGGAGGCGGGGCCTGGTGGGAGGTGATTGGATCATGGGGCAGTTTCTCATAAATGGTTTCGCACCATCCCCTTGACACTGTCCTCACAATAGTGAGTGAGTTCTCGTGAGATCTGGTTGTTTAAAAGCGTGTAGCACCTCCCCCAGTGACTTCTCTCTTGCTCCTGGATGGCATTTCTGGATTAACCCTGGGTCACAGGGGAGCCTACTGCCCTCAGGGGAGAGACTCAGGCCTGGCAGCATTTACCACAGGCTGATGGAAGAGGCCTTGGGCCTTGAGTGAACATTAGCAGTAGCCAGGCAGTACTTGCTGCAGGGTTGGGGCAGTGGTGGCCATGGTGAAAAGACTCCTCTGGTTGAGAAAAGGAGAGGAAAGTGTGGGAAGGACTTTATCTTGTTCTGTGAGTGCCAGGTCAGCTGCAGGGGAATAGAGCACCAAGTAGATTCCTAAGGTTCCTGACTCCAGCATTGACTCCCAGATGGCATTTCTGGACTTACCATGGGCCAAGGGGGAGCTTGTCACCCTGAAGGAAAGGAAACAAGTCTAGCTGGATTCACCACCTGATGACTAAAGAGGCCTTGGGCCTTGAGTGAACACTGACAGTAGCCAGGCATTGGTTGCCACAGGTCTTGAGTGATACCCAGCGCTGTGCCAGCTTCAGATCTGACTCAGCACAGTCCCAATTATGGTGGCCAAAGGGTGCTTGTGTCAGTCCTCCCCCAGCTTCAGGCAGCTAAGCACAGAGAGATAGAGACTGTGTTTGGGGGAAGGGAAGTGAAGAGAACAAAAGTCTCTGCCTGGTGATCCAGAGAATTATCTCAGATCTTACTCAAGACCACTAAGTTTGTGCCTCTATAAGTCTTCAAGAGTCACAGCATTGGGCTTGGAGTGCCCCTTAATGCAAATATGGCTACAGTGACCAAAGATAACATTCAATTACCTTTGAATACACAAAAAGCTTTCCCAAGAAGAATGGTCACAAACATGCTCAGAGTTCAAAGACTACAATAAATATCTAAGTCTTCAATGCCCAGACACTGATGAACATCCACAAGCATCAAGACCATCCAATAAAATATGACCTCACCAAACAAAATAAACAAGGCACAAGTGACTAATTCTGGAGTGACAGAGATATGTGATCTTTCAGAAAGATAATTTAAAATAGTCATTTGAGGAAACTCAAAGAAATTCAAGACAACACAAAGAAGGAACTCAGAATCCTATCAGAAAACTTTAAAAAAGAGTAGAGATAGTTTTTACAAAATCAAGCAGAAATTCTGGAGCTGAAAAATTCAACTGAAATACTGAAGAATACCTCAGAGTGTCTCAAAAGCAGAACTGATCAAGCAGAAGAAAGATTTAGTGAGCTTCAAGACAGTCTATTTGAAAATACACAGTCAAAAGAGACAGAAGGAAAAAGAATAAAAAGAAATAAAACATGCCCACAAGGTCTAGAAAATAACCTTAAAAGAACAAATCTAAAAGTTATTGAATTTAAAGAGGAATTAGAGAGACTGGGGTAGGAAGTTTATTTAAAGTGTTAGTAACAGAGAACTTTTCAAACCTTGAGAAAGATATCAATATTCAAGTACAAGAAGGATTTAGAATATCAAGCAGATTTACCCATATAAGACTGCCTCAAGACATTCAATAATCAAACTCGTAGAGGTCAGGGATAAAGAAAAGATCCATGGGGGAGGTTCCAAGATGGTTGAATAGGAACAGCTGCTGTATACAGCTCCCAGCATGAGCGACGCAGAAGACGGGTGATTTCTGCATTTCCAACTGAGCCTCTGCTGGTGATACCCAGGCAAACAGGATCTGGAGTGGACCTCCAGCAAACTCCAACAGACCTGCAGCTGAGGGTCCTGATTGTTAGGAGGAAAACTAAGAAACAGAAAGGACATCCACACCAAAACCCCATCTGTACGTCACCATCATCAAAGACCAAAGGTAGATAAAACCAAAAGATGGGGAGAAACCAGAGCAGAAAAGCTGAAAATTCTAAAAATCAGAGCGCCTCTTCTCCTCCAAAGCAGCGCAGCTCCTCTCCAGCAATGGAACAAAGCTGGACAGAGAATGACTTTGATGAGTTGAGAGAAGAAGGCTTCAGACGATCAAACTTCTCCGAGCTAAAGGAGGATGTTAGAACCCATTGCAAAGAAGCTAAAAACCTTGAAAAAAGATTAGATGAATGGCTAACTAGAATAACCAGTGTAGAGAAGACCTTAAATGAACTGAAGTAGAAGAAAATCATGGCACAAGTACTACGTGATGCATGCACAAGCTTCAGTAGCCGATTAGATCAACTGGAAGAAAGGGTATCAGTGATGGAAGATCAAATGAACGAAATGAAGTGAGAAGACAAGCTTAGAGAAAAAAGAGTAAAAAGAAATGAACAAAGCCTCCAAGACATATGGGACTAAGTGAAAAGACCAAATCTACATCTGATTGGTGTACCTGAAAGTGACGGGGAGAATGGAACCAAGTTGGAAAACACTCTGCAGGATATTATCCAGGAGAACTTCCACAACCTAGCAAGGCAGGACAACATTCAAATTCAGGAAATACAGAGAACACCACAAAGATACTCCTCAAGAAGAGCAACTCCAAGACACATAATTGTCAGATTCACCAAAGTTGAAATGAAGGAAAAAATGTTAAGGGCAGCCAGAGAGAAAGGTCAGGTTACCCACAAAGGGAAGCCCATCAGACTAACAGCGGATCTATCAGCAGAAACTCTACAAGCCAGAAGAGAGTGGGGGCCAATAGTCAACATTCTTAAATAAAAGAATTTTCAACCCAGAATTTCATATCCAGCCAAACTAAGCCTCATAAGTGAAGGAGAAATAAAATACTTTACAGACAAGCAAATGCTGAGAGATTTGCTTGCCTTACCACCAGGCCTGCCTTACAAGAGCTCCTGAAGGAAGCATGGAAAGGCACAACTTATACCAGCCACTGCAAAAACATGCCAAATTGTAAAGACCATCAATGCTAGGAAGAAACTACATCAACTAATGAGCAAAATAACCATCTAACATCATAATGACAGGATCAAATTCACACATAACAATATTAACCTTACATGTAAATGTGCTAAATGCTCCAATTAAAAGATAAAGACTGGCAAATTGGATAAAGAGTCAAGACCCATCAGTGTGCTGTATTCAGGAGACCCATCTCTCATGCAGAAAAACACATAGGCTCAAAATAAAGGGATGGAGGAAGATCTACCAAGCAAATGGAAAACAAAAAAAAGCAGGGGTTGCAATCCTAGTCTCTGATAAAACACTTTAAACCAACAAAGATCAAAAGAGACAAAGAAGGCCATTACATAATGGTAAAGGAATCAATTCAACAAGAAGAGCTAGCTATCCTAAATATATATGCACCCAATACAGGAGCACCCAGATTCATAAAGCAAGTCCTTAGAGACCTACAAAGAGACTTAGACTCCCACACAATAATAATGGGAGACTTTAACACCCCACTGTCAACATTAGACAGATCAACGAGACAGAAAGTTAACAAGGATATCCAGGTATTGAACTCAGCTCTGCACCAAGCGGACCTAATAGACATCTACAGAACTCTCCACCCCAAATCAACAGAATATACATTCTTCTCAGCACCACATCACACTTATTCCAAAATTCACCACATAGTTGGAAATAAAGCACTCCTCAGCAAATGTAAAAGAATAGAAATTACAACAAACTGTCTATCAGACCACAGTGCAATCAAACTAGAACTCAGGATTAAGAAATTCACTCAAAACCACTCAACTACATGGAAACTGAACAACCTGCTCCTGAATGACTACTGGGTACATAACGAAATGAAGGCAGAAATCACATGGACACAGGAAGGGGAACATCACACACCGGGGCCTGTTGTGGGGTGAGGGGAGGGAGGAGGGATAGCATTAGGAGATATACCTAAGGTTAAATGACGAGTTAATGGGTGCAGCACACCAACATGGCACACGTATACATATGTAACTAACCAGCACGTTGGGCACATGTACCGTAAAACTTAAAAGTATTAAAAAAAAAAAATGTTCTTTGAAACCAATGAGAACAAAGACACAACATACCAGAATCTCTGGGACACATTCAAAGCAGTGTGTAGAGGGAAATTTATAGCACTAAATGCCCACAAGAGAAAGCAGGAAAGATCTAAAATTGACACCCTAACATCACAATTAAAAGTACTAGAGAAGCAAGAGCAAACATATTCAAAAGCTACCAGAAGGCAAGAAATTACTAAGATCAGAGCAGAACTGAAGGAGCTAGAGACACAAAAAAACCCTTCAACAAATCAATGAATCCAGGAGTTGATTTTTTGAAAAGATCAGCAAAATTGTTAGACCACTAGCAAGACTAATAAAAAAGGAAAAGAGAGAAGAATCAAATAGATGCAATAAAAAATGATAAAGGGGATATCACCACCGATCCCACAGAAATACAAACTACCATCAGAGAATACTATAAACACTTCTACACAAATAAACTAGAAAATCTAGAAGAAATGGATAAATTCCTTGACACATACACCCTCCCAAGACTAAACCAGGAAGAAGTTGAATCTCCTAATAGACTAATACCAGGCTCTGAAATTGAGGCAATAATTAATAGCCTACCAACCAAAAAAAGTCCAGGACCAGATGGATTCACAGCCGAATTCTACCAGATGTACAAAGAGGAGCTGCTACCATTCCTTCTGAAACTATTCCAATCAATAGAAAAAGAGGGAATCCTCCCTAACTCATTTTATGAGGCCAGCATCATCCTGATACCAAAGCCAGGCAGAGACACAACAAAAAAAGAGAATTTTAGACCAATATCCCTGATGAACATCGATGCAAAAATCCTCAATAAAATACTGGCAAACCGAATCCAGCAGCACATCAAAAAGCTTATCCACCACGATCAAATGAGCTTCATCCCTGGGATGCAAGCCTGGTTCAACGTATGCAAATCAATAAATGTAATCCAGCATATAAACAGAACCAAAGACAAAAACCACATGATTATCTCAATAGATGCAGAAAAGGCCTTTGACAAAATTCAACAGCCCTTCATGCTAAAAACTCTCAATAAATTAGGTATTGATGGGACGTATCTGAAAATAATAAGAGCTATCTATGACAAACCCACAGCCAATATCATACTGAATGGGCAAAAACTGGAAGCATTCCCTTTGAAAACTGGCACAACACAGGGATGCCCTCTCTCACCACTCCTATTCAACATAGTGTTGGAAGTTCTGGCCAGGGCAATCAGGCAGGAGAAAGAAATAAAGGGTATTCAGTTAGGAAAAGAGGAAGTCAAATTGCCCCTGTTTGCAGATGACATGATTGTATATCTAGAAAACCCCATTGTCTCAGCCCAAAATCTCCTTCAGCTGATAAGCAACTTCAGCAATACAAAATCAATGTGCAAAAATCACAAGCATTCTTATACACCAATAACAGACAAACAGAGAGCCAAATCATGAGTGAACTCCCATTTACAATTTCTTCAAAGAGAATAAAATAACTAGGAATCCAACTTACAAGGGATGTGAAGGACCTCTTCAAGGAGAACTACAAACCACTGCTCAATGAAATAAAAGAGGACACAAACAAATGGAAGAACATTCCATGCTCATGGATAGGAAGAATCAATATCGTGAAAGTGGCCATACTGCCCAAGGTAATTTATAGATTCAATGCCATCCCCATCAAGCTACAAATGACTTTCTTCAAATAATTGGAAAAAACTACTTTAAAGTTCATATGGAACCAAAAAAAAGCTTGCATTGCCAAGTCTATCCTAAGCCAAAAGAACAAAGCTGGAGGCATCACACTACCTGACTTCAAACTATACTACAAGGCTACAGTAACCAAAACAGCATGGTACTGGTACCAAAACAGAGATATAGATAAATGGAACAGAACAGAGCCCTCAGAAATAATACCACACATCTGCAACTATCTGATCTTTGACAAACCTGACAAGAACAAGAAATGGGGAAAGGATTCCCTATTTAATAAATGGTGCTGGCAAAACTGGCTAGCCATATGTAGAAAGCTGAAACTGGATCCCTTCCTTACACCTTATACAAAAATTAATTCAAGATGGATTAAAGACTTAAATGTTAGACCTAAAACCATAAAAACCCTAGAAGAAAACCTAGGCAATACCATTCAGGACATAGGCATGGGCAAGGACTTCATGTCTAAAACACCAAAAGCAATGGCAACAAAAGCCAAAATTGACAAATGGGATCTAATTAAACTAAAGAGCTTCTGCACAGCAAAAGAAACTACCATCAGAGTGAACAGGCAACCTACAGAATGGGAGAAAATTTTTGCAATCTACTCATCTGACAAAGGGCTAATATCCAGAATCTACAAAGAACTTAAAAAAATTTACAAGAAAAAAACAAACAACCCCATCAACAAGTGGGTGAAGGATATGAACAGACACTTCTCAAAAGAAGACATTTATGCAGCCAACAGACACATGAAAAAATGATCATCATCACTGGCAATCAGAGAAATGCAAATCAAAACCACAATGAGATACCATCTCACACCTGTTAGAATGGCGATCATTAAAAAGTCAGGAAACAACAGGTGCTGGAGAGGATGTGGAGAAATAGGAACACTTTTACACTGTTGGTGGGACTGTAAACTAGTTCAACCATTGTGGAAGACAGTGTGGCGATTCCTCAGGGATGTGGAACTAGAAATACCATTTGACCCCGCAATTCCATTACTGGGTATATACCTAAAGGAATATAAATCATGCTGCTACAAAGACACATGCACACGTATGTTTACTGTGGCACTACTCACAATAGCAAAGACTTGCAACCAACCCAAATGTCCAACAATGATAGACTGGATTAAGAAAATGTGGCACATATACGCCATGGAATACTATGCAGCCATAAAAAATGAGTTCATGTTCTTTGTAGGGACATGGATGAAGCTGGAAACCATCATTCTCAGCAAACTATCGCAAGGACAAAAAAACCAAACACCGCATGTTCTCACTCATAGGTGGGAATTGAACAATGAGAACACTTGGACACAGGAAGGGGAACATCACACACTGGGGCTTGTTGTGGGGTGGGGGGAATGGGGAGGGATAGCATTAGGAGATACACCTAATGTAAATGACGAGTTAACGGGTGCGGCACACCAACATGGCACATGTATACATATGTAACAAACCTGCACGTTGTGCACATATACCCTAGAACTTAAAGTATAGTTTAAAATATATATATATATATATAAAAGATAATCAATGAACAAACATTGGACTTAATCTGCACTACACACAAAATGGACCTAACAGATATTTACAGAACAATTCATCCAATGACTGCAGAATACATTCTTCTCCTCAGCACATGAATCATTCTCAAGGACAGACCATACATTAGGTTACAAAACAAGTCTCAAACTATTTTTAAAAATTGAAATCAGACCAAATATCTTATCTGAACATAATAGAATAAAACTAGAAATCAGTAACAAGAGGAACTTTGGAAACTATAAAAACACATGGTAATTAAACAATATGCTTGCTCCTGAATGACAAGTGAGTCAATGAAGAAATTAATAAGGAAATTTAAAAATTTCTTGAAACAAATGAAAATGGAAACACAATATACCAAAACCTATGGGATACAGCAAAAGCAGTACTAAGTGGAAAGTTTATAGCAATAAGTACCTATATCAGAAGAGGAGAAAAACTTCAAATAAATAACCTAATTGTGCATCTTGAGGAAGTAGAAAAGCAAGAGCAAACCAAACCCAAAATTAGTAGAAGAAATAATAAAGATCAGAGCAAAAATAAATGAAATTGAAATAAAAAGTACAAAAGATCAACTAAATGAAAAGTTAGTTTTTTTAAAAGATAAAATTGACAAACCTTTAGCCAGGCTGAGAATAAAGAGAGTATACCCAAGTAAATAAATTCAAAGATGAAAAAGGAGACAATACAACATTACAACTGATACCACAGAAAATCAAAGGATTATTAGAGACTACTATGAGTAACTATATGCCAATAAATCATTAAATCTAGAAGAAATGGATAAATTCCTAAACACATGCAACCTACCAAGATTAAACGATGAAGAAATTCAAAACCTAAATAGACCAACAACAGGTAACAGATCAAAGCCACAATAAAAAGTCTCCCAGCAAAGAAAAGCCCCAGACTCAATGGCTTCCCTGCTGAATTTTACCAAACCACTTAAGGAAGAACTAAACCAATTCTACTCAAATTATTCTGAATAATAGATGGGGAAGGAACGCTTCAAAACTCATTCTATGAGGTCAGTATTACCCTGATACTAAAACCAGACAAAGACACATCAAAAAAAGAAAACTACAGACCAATATCCCTGATGAACACTGATGCAAAAATTCTCAACAAAATGCTAGCAAACCGAATTCAACAACATATTAAAAAGGTCATTTGTCATGATCAAGTGGGATTTATCCCAGAGATGCAAGGATGGCTCAACATATGCAAATCAATCACTGTGATATATTGTATCAACAGATTGAAGAGCAAAAACCATATGACCATTTCAACTGATGCTGAAAAAGCATGTAATAAAATTCAGCATCCTCTCATGATAAAAATCCTCAAAAAACTGGGTATAGTAGGAACATACCTCAACACAATAAAAGCCAGAAAAAAGACTCACTTAAAGTGAATGAGTCTGTTCAGATTTACCTGTTTCTAAAACGAAGACCTGCAGCTAGTATCATACTGAATGAAGAAAAACCTTTCCTCTAATATCTGGAACAAGACAAGGATGCCCATTTTCACCACTGTTTATTTAACATAGTGCTGGACGTCCTAGCTAGAGAAAAAAAATAAAGAGCATCCAAATTGGAAAGTAAAAAGCCAAATTATCCTTGTTGGCAGATAGTATGATCTTACATCTAGAAAAAACTAAAAATTCTACTATAAATCATTAGAACTGATAAACAAATTTGGTAAAGTTACAGGATACAAAATCAACATATAAAAACCAGCAGCATTTCTACATGCCAACAGTGAAGAATCTGAAAAAGAAATCAAGAAAGTAATCCCATTTACAATAGCTATGAACAAAATAAAATACCTAGGAATAAACTTAATCAAAGAAGTGAAAGATGTCTACAATGAAAACCATAAAACACTGATGCAAGGAATTGTAGAAGACACAAAAGAATGAAAAGATATTCCATGTTCATGGATGAGAAGAAATAATATTCTTTAAGTGTTCGCACTACCCAAAGCAATCTACAGATTCAAAGCAATGCCTATCCAAATATTAATGACATTCTTTACAAAAATAGAAAAAATAATCCTAAAATATATATGGAAATACAAAAGACCCAGAATTGCCAAAGCCATCCTGAGCAAAAATAACAAAACTGGAGGAGTCACATTACTTGACTTCAAATGATACTACAGAGCCACTGTAACCAAAACCCAGCATGGTACTAGCATAAAAACAGACACAGAGACCAATGAAACATAACAGAGAACCCAGAAATAAATCCATACATCTACAGTGAATTAATTTTTTACAAACATACCGAGAATCTACACTGGGGAAAGCACAGTCTCGTCAGTAAATAATGCCGGGAAAACCGGATATCCATATGCAGAAGAATGAAACTAGACTACCTCTCATCATATACAAAAATCAAATCAAAATGGATTAAATACTTAAATCTGCAATCTCAAACTATAAAATTACTAAAAGAAAACATTGGGTAAGCTCTCCAGGACATTGGTATGGGTATAGATTTCTTGAGTAATACCCCATAAGCACAGGCAAGCAAAGCAAAAATGGACAAAGGAGATCACATTAAGTTAAAAAGCTTCTGCACAGCAAAGGAAGAAAACAACAAAATGAAGAGACAACCCACAGAATGGGACAAAATATTTGCAAACTATCCATCTGACAAAAGATTAATAACCAAAATATGTATTTTGGTTGGAACTCAATTCAACAGGAAAAAAATCTCATAATCTGATTAAGACACGGGTAAAATATCTGAATAGACATTTCTTCCTTTCTTTCTTTTTTTGAGATGAAGTCCTGCTCTGTCACCCAGGCTGGAGTGCCGTGGCGCAATCTCGGCTCACTGCAGCCTCTGCCTCCTGAGTTCAAGCGATTCTCCTGCCTCAGTCTCCTGAGTAGCTGGGAAGCTGGGATTACAGGCACCTGCCACCACACTCAGCTAATTTTTGTATTTTTAGTAGAGATGGGGTTTCACCATGTTGGCCAGGCTGGTCTTGAACTCCTGACTTCAGGTGATCCACCCACCTCAGCCTCCCAAATTGCTGGGATTACAGCTGTGAGCCACTGTGCCTGATGACATTTCTTAAAGGAAGACATATAGATGGCAAACAGACATATGAAAAGGTGCCCAACATCATTGATCATCAGAGAAATGCAAATCAAAACTACAATGAGATACCATCTCCCTCCAGTTGAAATGGCTTTTGTCCAAAAGACAGGTAATAATGAATCTGGGAAGGATATGGAAAAAAGGAGACCCTCATACACTGTTGGTCAGAAGGTAAATTAGTACAGCCACTATGGAGAACAGTATGGAGGTTCCTCAAAGAACTAAACATAGAATTACCATATGATTCAGCAATCCCACTGCTAAGTATATACCCCAAAGAAAGGAAATCAGTATATTGAAGAGACATCTGCACTCCCATATTTATCACAGTGTCAGGATTTGGAAGCAACCTAAGTGTCCATATCAATAGATGAATGAAGAAAATGTGGTACATATGCACAACGGAGTACTATTCAGCCATAAAAAAGAATGATATTCTGTCATTTGCAACAACATGGATGGGACTGGAGGACATTATGTTATGTGAAATAAGCCAGATATAGGAAGACAAACTTCACATGTTCTCACTTATTTGTGGGAGCTAAAAATTAAAACAAATGAACTCAAGGAGCTAGAGAGTAGAGTGCTGGTTATCAGAGGCTGGGAAGGGAAGTTGGGGGGGAATGGGGGTGGTTAATGGGTACAAAACTATAGTTATATAGAATGAATAAGATCTAGTATTTGATAGCACAACAAGGTGATTACAGGCAACAATTTATTGTGTCTTTAAAAATAACTAAAGGAGTATAATTTAATGTTTATAAGCAAAGACATGATAAATGCTTGAGGTGATGGATACCCCATTTATCCTGATGTGATTCTTACACATTGCATGCCTGTATCAAAAGAGCTCATGTACCCCATAGATATATACACCTACTATATACCAACAAAAAATTTTTAAAAAGAAAAGAAAAACCGACATTAAAAGACTCACTTAAAGTGAATGGGTCTGTTCAGACCTACCTGTTTCTAAAAGGAAGTGACCCTGTGTCGCCCTCTAAACTTTTTTTTTTTTTGAGAGAGTGTCTCATTTTGTCACCCAGGCTGGAGTGCACTGGTGCGATCTCAGCTCACTGCAATCTGCATCTCCTGGGTTCAAGATATTCTCATGCCTCAGCCTCCCAAGTAGCTGGGATTACAGGTGCACACCACCATACCCAACTAATTTTTGTACTTTAGTAGAGATGGGGTTTCACTATGTTGGCCAGGCTGGTCTTGAACTCCTGACCTTCAGTGATCCACCCGCTTCAGCCTACCAAAGTGCTGGGATTACAGACGTGAGCCACCGCACCTGGCCTCCCTCTTTTTTTTTTTTTTTGAGACGGAGTCTTGCTCTGTCGCCCAGGCTGGAGTGCAGTGGTGTGATCTCGGCTCACTGCAAGCTCTGCCTCCCAGGTTCACACCATTCTCCTGCCTCAGCCTCCCAAGTAGCTGGGACTACAGGCGCCCGCCACCACGCCTGGCTAATTTTTTTTTTTTTTGTATTTTTAGTAGAGACGGGGTTTCACCGTGTTAGCCAGGATGGTCTCCATCTCCTGACCTCGTGATCCGCCCCTCTCGGCCTCCCAAAGTGCTGGGATTACAGGCATGAGCCACCGCACCTGGCCTCCCTCTGAACTTCTAAAGCACACTACTTTGGGACCCATCATGTTTCACATTTAACTTGGGCACAAACCAACAGTAGAAAGAAGTCTCAACTTTCCCCACAGATTTCCAAGGGGGCTCTGTGAACTAGGCTGCCCCAGGTCTTGGCAGCCAGGCCAGCCGCACGACGCTTTCCCGACTCAGACTGACAGAACAAACACGTGAACAGACACACAAAGCAAGTGCCTCTTTAAAGCATTTTAGAGAAGCGAGTGTAATCATACAGGAAAGAATAGGGGTCCACCAGGTGAGGAAAAGGAAGAGAAGAGAACGCTAAACAGAATAAGGAGTATGAGTATGAACAAAAATTCAAAATGCTCCAGGAAGAGATAAACGTTTCTGATTTTGAAACAGAGAACGTTGCAGGGGCAGACGGCAGTGGTAACACTGAAATAAATGTAGGTCAACCCAGATTGTAAAGGATCTTATGTGAGTCTGGGCTTCAGTAAGGGAAATTAAAAGGTAAGTGGATTTTTAAGGTGAGTTGTTGCAAGAACAGAAAATTTATTTTTGATCATTCCATCATAACTTCCCCATGGTTTTCCTACCTAGCAGCATTTGAAGAACGCCTGTGCGTGGAATCAGCCAGAGAGACAGCAAGAGAACCCCATCTCTGACAATGGCCTGGATCACCTATCTCTTCAAAGCAGAGTGGAACCAGGCCAGGAGGGAGGTGTCCCAGGGTGAGCATGCACAGGAGGGAGTCTGCAGAGCCAAATGCTGTGAAGCTCCTGCCTTTTGGGCCCAGAGACTTCTGAGACTCGTGCTCTCCCTCTGTGCTTTCAACTTATAAAACCTGCTGTTTTGATCTGAAAGAAAAAAAAAAGGGATTCAGCTGCTAGGTTAATGCTGTTGGCTAAGTATTTCAGAGACACTTCATGACTTACACATGAGCAGAGAATGGGCCCGGGAAGCAGCAGCTGTGGGAATCAAGGCTGTCCACTGAACCTGTATGAAGCACAATGTTCTTATCTATAAGACGGGAGAAGTAAGCCCTGTCCCACATTGCTTCCCAAGGAGGGGACAAAGGAGGCTGTTCAAGGCAAGTCTCTTCACCAGACATCTGTTGTCACATTCATGATGCTGAACAAAACCCTCAAAACCACAGTGGCATCCAAGAGGACTCACTGAATTAGCTCATGAGACTGGGCTTCAGCTGATCTGAGCTTGGCTGCTCCTAACTCTACTTGCACATGTGATTGTGCTCAGCTGCAGGTCAACTAATTGTGTCTGCTGATACGGGCTGGGCTCGCGTGCATGCCTGGAAGTGAGCTACCTATCTATTGCTGACCTAGGATGGCCATTGGCTGGAACAATGGGATGCCTTGGTTCTATTCCATGGGCATGTTTTCTAATGGCGAAATATAGGGCAAGGATGAGTGGAAACACACAAGTGCTTTTTTAGCCTCTGCAATGGCACATCTCCTAACATCCCATTGGCTAAAACAAATCACATGGTTAAGCCCAGCAACAGAGTGAGATCGTGTGACAAAGTTACAGTGGCATAAGGTGAGGATCAGAGAGTGGTGAAGAATTGGGCCATTTCTGCCATCTACCACAGCCTCTATAAACTGTAAACTATGCAAATAAATGTAAGGCAATATTACTATCCAAAGGCAATTTAATCAATGTATGCTTGTTGAATTGATTTACGTGGGCATTGGCCTGTCTCAGACCTGATTACTTTCACAAGTGTTTTCCAATTACCCCATAGTTTTTCATAGCTAGAATAAAACTCCATTTAAAAACTATCTGTAAATTTTTCTTGGACAGCTGAGCTCTCTGCTTTCTCTCCGTCTGATATTATAGTGCAGGGGTGGGAAGTGGGGGATATTCATGGTGATTTTCTGTTTCTATTTAGCTTAAGTCATCAGCGATAACTTTAACTTGGCAGTTTCATCAGGGCTCTTTCTAAATGTGCTGACATTTCAATTAAATGTCAGTGGCATCATTCTGTTTACCAGCTGGAAGATTTGTAATGGGGAATATTGGTAGTGCCAGAGACTAGAGATTTCCATTTGGTAAAATGCCAGCCAATGTTTTTTGTCTCTACTACCCCCTGAGGATCCTTCACACGTGGGTTTTGACAGGCGGATTGGCCCTTCAAGATGTCCCTCATGCTGTAGGTCAGGAATTTTCAAATTGTTCCCTGAAACCCTAATGCGGGTGCTTTTGATGTTAGGTTTTTTTTTTAATTTATTTTTTTGCTTGGAGCTTGGAATGAAACCTCTTCTGCTTTCCAAGTTTAATTAAAGAATAGTCTGAGCTTGCAAGGCAGGCAATTAAAAAGTTATTAATTACAACTACATATATATAGTAGGCTTTTAATTGAAGCAGCAAAAGAAAATCATTATTCAGTTCATAGACTATGGGACTAGGCTGCCTAGGTTTGAAGCCCAGCTCTAGCTTGCTCTGTGACTTTGGGCCACGTATCTAGCTATTTGGGCCTCCCTTTACTCACCTGGGAATAATAGTGTCTCAGAGAGTTATGAATTAAATGAGTTGACATGTTTGAAGCACTCAGAGCAGTGTTGAAATATGATTGTCCATTATTCATGTAATGCAACCAAAATAAAATACAGATAGAAGTCAGATGCTGAAGTGTATGCCAAAAAAATGCAACTGTCATCCACGATCCCTGACTTAATGTTTTCTGTTAAAACAACCTCATTGTCACTGATTGACTTTGTAAAAATTTCTAGTCATTAGAAATTACTTTTTAAATGCATAAAAAGTAATTACCATTTACCTGTTTGATATGTATCAAGTTCCAGATGAGATTTCATTTGAGAGAAAAACATTCTGCTGCTTAAAAAGTTTGAGAGCCACTGTTCTTAGCCATTTTACAGGATTCTAAGTGAAGGGCTTAAGAAAGCAAACTCAGATACTCAGATACTTATCCAGCTTCTATGTGGCCCTGGAGGACAAATTCCCAGGTTGAGTGTTTCAACACAGAGCTGAAGTCTTTCCCCAGTGGTTTCCACCAGCACGTCCAGTTCAACTAAATATTGTAAGAGCATTTGGTGGTAGCAACATCCTGTGGAAATAGTAATTGTCTTGTTTGTTTACCAGAGCTGAAAATGGTCCTTTAAATGGTTGCTAAAGCATGAGAAACCCCAGAGGTGCATGTGGATGTTACCATCATTGCTATTAGGCCTAATTCTAATATTTTGGTTCAGCAGAAGCCATGAATATGGCAGGACTCCAGGGGGAGCCCATGGCAGTAGGTTTCTGCCTCTTCACTCCTGCCACCGTGTGGACAGATTGCTGCAAATCAATAAATAGATATATTTTTAAATTTTATTTATTTATTTATTTATTTTTAGGCAGAGTCTTGTTCTGTTGCCCAGGCTGGAATGCAGTGGTGCAATCAAGGCTCACTGCAGCCTCAACCTCCTGAACCCAAGCAATTCTTCCACCTCAGCCTCCTGAGTAGCTGGGACTGCAGGTGTATGCCACCACACCTGGGTAGTTTTTTTTTTAATTTTTATTTTTGTAGAGACAACTTTTTGCTGTATTGCCCAGGCTGGTCTTGAGTTCCCAGCCTCAAATTATCCTCATGCCTTGGCCTCCCAAAGCGCTGGGCTTACGGGTGTGAGGCACCACATCTGGCCAGCAAATCAGTTTGATTCAAGTTAAGGAAGAAGCTGGTGGATCTGCAAGCTCAAACAGGGCAGTGATTCACCCACTTTTCTGCCAGGGCACTGGAGTGAAGCTGCCCTCATTCTCTCTATGCTTGCAAAAAAGCCCCTAATGCTACTGCCCCTTCATCAAAAGATCATTAGGAGAAACCCAGTAGTGGGGATGCCACCAGCTACCATTATGTTCAGCACAGCTCCCTACACTGAACAGGATCTGCCCCACTTCACAGGTGGGCACATTGAAGTCCCAGTGGCCCAGCTGGGCTTTGAATTAATGGTTTCTGATTCCAGGCCCATTATGTTTTGCACTCTGTCAGCTGCTATCAGGGACGGCTTCAAGGAAGAGCTGTCAAGAACTGGAAACTTTATAAATTAATGTGAAGCTTGATTAATCTACATTATTATTAT
Source organism: Homo sapiens (assembly GCF_000001405.40). Taxonomy (NCBI): domain Eukaryota; kingdom Metazoa; phylum Chordata; class Mammalia; order Primates; family Hominidae; genus Homo; species Homo sapiens. The sequence continues at coordinate 30,863,074 of NC_000002.12, forward strand.
TTTTGCCCAGGGGGCCTTGGAGAAATAGACTCTATTTTCCTTTAGCTATTCCTACTGTGGGGAGTCAAACATTCCCATGCCATGGGTTCTTACCCCATTTTAGCAGCTTTATATAATACTAACTTAAAGAATAGAACTGCTTTATTCTTAACACTTCCATTGTGGTTGGCCACATAGCTTGGTTTTACTTTTCACTGTAAGGTATGTTGGTGCAATAAACATCTTTGTGTTTAATGCTGAAATACCGTTGTTGGCATACAGGAACATAATTTATTTGTATATATTTTTAAATCACAGCCCTCCTAAAAAAAGCTAAATTCTAAAAACATAGAATACAAACAGTGGGCTTGCTGAGACTCCTCCCCAGGGAGGAGGATTGGTTCAGAGAAGGTCAATACCAAATCATGCAGGGGCTTGAATGACAAGTGCAGGCCTTTTGATTTTTTTGTTTTGTTTTGTTTTCTGGGGAGTAAGGTGTTGCTAAAGAGGAAAGGAAGGTGATGTACAAGCCAAGTGTGGGACTGTAAATCTGAGGTCAAAAGATAGAATTTAATGGCTCAAAGGCCGGGAGCAGTGACCCATGCCTGTAATCCCAGCACTTTGGGAGGCCAAGGTGGGCAGATCACCTGAGGTCAGGAGTTCGAGACCAGCCTGGCTAACATGGTGAAACCCCATTTCTACTAAAAATACAAAAAATTAGCCAGGCGTGGTGGCACACGCCTGTAATCTCAGCTACTCAGGAGGCTGAGGAGGAGAATCGCTTGAACCTGGGAGGTGGAGGTTGCAGCAGTGAGCTGAGATTGTGCCATTGCACTCCAGCCTGGGCAACAAGAGAGAAACTCCATCTCAAAAAAAAAAGTAGAATTTAATGGAGCAGAAATATGAGGCAGGGACAGAAGTCAAGCCTGGCTGCTGTAGCGATTACAGCTCTGTAGGTCTCTGTTTCCTTGTCTGTGAAATAACTAGTAAGCTTAGAGAACAGAAGAGTCTTCTCAGCTTCACAGCCAGATAGACCTCCATATAAATTCTAGTTCAGCTACTTTTCCATCTGTATGATGGGGAGAATTTTACCCACTCCATAGGATCATGGTAATAACTACAATTATGATTATAAAGAACATGCTCCAGTTGTTGGCACATGTTTAAATAAGCAGTAAGTGTTTCATCCCCATCAATTTTATGGCCTGGAAATTGCCTAAGCTCTCTTCCAACTCAGATGTGCCATGGTTCTATTATGTGATGAGAAAACAATTTAGAAGAATGAAGGACTATAAATTAAATTACTAGTTAATAGATTAATGGTTTAGTCTATTTAAAAAAATCATCTCCTGGCAAGAACCCAAAGGAAAATAATAGTTATTAAAGATCCAAACATTTCACTGAGAAAAAATGATGTTGACTAGAGAGATTTTCTTCAGAATGTGTTTAATTCACAACTAGATGCTATCCAAGACTTCTGGGTCAGTTTCTCTCAGCTCCCAGGAGAGGAATGGAATGACATGAGAAATATACCTTGAAATTCTTGGATGATAAAAAAGGATTAAAAATCAATAGTGTTTCTGCTTCAGCTCTTTCAATTTTGTTTTCCTCCCACTTCTGTAGAATTTCACTGAAGAATAAGTGGTGTATTTGAGGGAACCTGGTGTGTTTTACCAAGGGATATAGGAAAGTGTCCCCAGGTGCCATTGCTGAGTGCAAACTTCAGTGCATCAGTGCGTGGCAGAGGTTGCAGTGCTGAGCCTTGGGGAAGGGAAAACACCAGAGCTGTGCTGTCCAATATGGTGGAAATGCAACTCCTTGGTCACACTAGCCATGGTCCAAGTGCTTGTTAGCCATATGCGGCTAGTGGCTACTGTATTGGACTGTGCAGGCATGCAACGTTTCCGTCTTCACAGACAGCTTTGCTGGACAGTGCTGGCCTACAGACTAATTTGCTAATTCAGAATCTGAGTCTCCAAATTTTAGAGAGCACAAAGGGCTCTTTGAAATTGTCTAGTCTTGCCCCCAAACCTGGGATCTGCAGTCTTGCCCTTCTGCACACTGGGATGCAGAAGAACTAAGCTCCAGTCCCACCTCTGCTGTAACTCCTAAATACCTTTTTCTGTCCAGTAAGGATCACAAGCTTTGGTTTACTCACCTATAAAAATGGGTTAAATCATTCGTTTGGTCTGTCTTCTAATTATTTTGTGAATACTAAGTTTAGATTGTGCTGTACATTGTGAACAACAAAGACAGGTTCTGCCACATTTCTAGCAGCATCCCTCAGAGTTGATAGAAACACACCAATGTGCACAGTGCTGCCAGCAAGAACCACCCACATAATATACATTCAGTGCTTTCCACTGGGCCCGGCAAAGAGAAGGTACTTAATGTGCTAACTGGGCTGTCAGAAGCCACTGGGGATAAAAAGCTCCTTTCAGAGAACTCCTTTCAAGTGCTTCCTTCACACTTTGCTGGTCTTTTATACATTTTTACAAGCTGAAAATGGCTTAGAGAATAAACAGAGCAGGGAGATAGAAGCTGTGTGTCCAGGCAATAAGCTGGAAGTACACTCAGTAGATGGGCCCAGGAGATGTGGCTCTAATCCCAGGCCACTCCCTACTCTCACTCTGGCCCAGTGAGGTTCCTGGCTCTGGGAACCAAAGGAGAGAAGCAGCCACGGAGTCTCGCAGTCTGCTCAGGTGAACCTGGAATGTCTATTCTGAAGGGAGAAGCTGGAGGAACTGCCTCCACATTTTATCTTAGCCCTGTAACATCTTAGCCATGCTAGCATCTCATATTTAGACCATGTAGGTGAGGCAGGGGATGGAGCAAGGGAAGTCCAGGAAGGATAGAAGACCCTCCCACAGCCAGAGACCCTGCTACTCAGGCCTCCTGCAGGAGTCAGCATGGTCCGTGGCTCATGAGGACTGTGTTTCATATGCTGGGGCCTGTTTGGCCCTTCTTGCCCATATCGGTGCTGGATGTGTCTCTGTCATGTGCATGCCCAAGGGAGGACACCTCAGTGCTGCAGCCCTGTGCTTCCGGAGCAGGGTTCCGGGCTACAGCAGATTGGATCTGAGTTCCTGTGTCAGCCCTGGCTTTCACTTAGCTGTGTGATCTTAGGCAAGATAACCAACTTTTCAGGTTCATGAAACCGTAAAATGACCATGGTCTCTATTTCTTGTGTGTGTGTGTGTTAATGAGAATCAAATTTTTAAAGCTAAAATGAAAGTGTTTGCACAAATGAAAACCTAGGCAAAAGCATTGATATTTTGAGACTAGAAGGGCTGCAGATAACTGGAAATGCCTAGGGTATTATATCCCATGTGAGAAATCTGCATTTTCAGGACCCTGGAGAAAAAGCAAAGGACTAGGACAGCGCTCTCAAAACTTCCTCTATTGTGAATCTAAAGCTTGCTTTAAACCTCAGCTTCCTCCCCAAGCCATCTGAAACCACAGAATCTCATGGACGGTTAGTTGGGTCCCAACCTTCACCTGCGACCAAATCCCCATGACAGCATCTCTGTGCACAGGTCATGTAGCCTGTGCTTGGACGCCACTGGTGACCGAACTCCTACTGCCTTCTAAATCTACCCATTCTACCTACTGCCTTCTAAATCTACCCATTCTATCTACTGCCTTCTAAATCTACCCATTCTATCTACTGCCTTCTAAATCTACCCATTCTATCTACTGCCTTCTAAATCTACCCATTCTATGCTTTGAGCAGTCCTAGCTGTTCGAGCAGCAGGATGAAAGGGATTCTTTTGAGACCTGTCTCTAATTTATTGTTATTGACTGCCTGGAAGACTAAGTTAAGGTGGATTCTGAGGCTGCATCCAGGGTCAGTGGTAGAGAGTGATTGATTAATGAGTATGTCTGCCATTAGTATCCTAGGGGACTGCTGTGGAACAGGCCCAGCATATCTGCCCTCTAGTGCTAGAGGCTCCTCTTCCTGTGAGTCAGTTCTGCTCCCACTTACTAGTTCTTTTTTTTCCCTATAGCAGCTACTGTTGGTGGTCTTGTCAAATATCAGTTCCCTTTTCTTCCTTCCCAGCAGAGCCCAATATTGCTCAGGTTACCACTGCCACTATTTCCCCATGAGATCTCATCAGAAGCTGACCTGCAGCAACTCCACGTTGGGTCACGATCAGTCTTCACCAACCATAGTTATCCCATCCTCCTAACCACAATGATTACCTCAGAAACGGGCACGTGACCCAGTTCCAGTCAGTCAGATGTGATCAGAGATGTTTGCCGAGAGCTTCAAAGATCTTTCCTCATTCTTTTGAGAGTCATGGAAAGACAATTCTTGCTTCCCTACTGGGAGTGAACAAGAGAATGTGTTACCCTTATGGCTGCTGGCAGTAGCCATAAGCATTCTAGAGTAACCAATTTAGGAAAAAGCCGGTACTATGCACAGTGGAGTAGAGGAACGAAAAGAACCTGAGACCTAGAGTATATCATTGAGTCCCTGAATCAACCATCTACATCTGGACCGCCAGTTATGCAAATTAGTAAATGTTCTAGTTGTTTAAACAAATTAGAGTAGGGTTTTCTGTTGTCTGCAGTAATTGACTCATTTCCCCTTGGGCCATAACAAGTCTAATTCATCTCGGAGTGTCTGTAGATGCCACCCTCTGCTGCCCTGTCTTATCTTCTCCAGGTTCAACTTCTTTGACTCCTTCAACTATTCCTTATATGAAATGCCTGGGAGTAATTCAGTATTTTGGAGGCTCTCTTCTGAGTATATGTAAACTTGTTTTAAGTCAGTTTACATAATACCTGATAACAGTTGCTGTTTTTCACATCTAGGCATCGGGCGAGGCCAGTAGGAAAGCAAGAACCACGTGTGTACCCTGCCATTCTGCGTCCTGACATTGCTGTAGGCACCTGGATGGTCGCATGGGGTTTCTCTTTCTTCAGCTTGGCTGAGGCAGCCTCAGCCTGGCTGCCTCTCTTTCCTGGCTTCTGGGTAAATAACTCATGTTCTCGTCACTGCGCATCACAGATAGAGAGTTTTCAGTGGGGTTCAATGTAATTGCTACTATCTATCACTTTAATAGCCTAATGAAGGTGAGATGTAATTAGAAAGGGTGTCAGTGGAATATGGAGTTTGTTTTACAATTATCTTTACAGCCAGGTGGACCATCAGCACAGAACATTGCCTTTTAAAAGCCTAAGAAACATGTGTCATAAATGTTCATCATTGAATGACTTAAAGGACCTATGGTCAAATTCTACTGTTTTCTTTAACTCCCTTGAATACTGAAGGATTTGTTTGCATTGGGCAATAGGTGGGCTCCAAATAAAGTTGCATAGAAACCAAGTTTTTATATGTCAAATCCTCTTTTGTTATTGACTTACATTAATATTGGCTGGGAGCGGTGGCTCATGCCTGTAATCCCAGCACTTTGAAAGGCAGAGGTGGGGCCGGGCGCGGTGGCTCACGCCTGTAATCCCAGCACTTTGGGAGGCCGAGGCGGGCGGATCACGAGGTCAGGAGATCGAGACCATCCCGGCTAAAAAACGGTGAAACCCCGTCTCTACTAAAAATACAAAAAATTAGCCGGGCGTAGTGGCGGGCGCCTGTAGTCCCAGCTACTTGGGAGGCTGAGGCAGGAGAATGGCGTGAACCCGGGAGGCGGAGCTTGCAGTGAGCCGAGATCCCGCCACTGCACTCCAGCCTGGGCGACAGAGCGAGACTCCGTCTCAAAAAAAAAAAAAAAAAAAAAAAAAAGAAAGGCAGAGGTGGGTACATCACCTGAGGTCAGGAGTTCAAGACCAGCTTGGCCAACATGGCAAAACCCCATCTCTACTAAAAATAGAAAAATTGGCCAGGTGTGGTTGTGGGCACCTGTAATCCCAGCTACCTGGGAGGCTGAGGCAGGAGAATTGCTTGAACCGGAGAGGCGGAGGTTGCAGTGAGCCAAGATCGCACCATTGCATTCCAGCCTGGGCAACAAGAGCAAAACTGCATCAAAAAATAAATAAAGAGAAAGAAAGAAAGGAAGGAAGAAAGAAAGAAGGAAGGAAGGAAGGAAGGAAGGAAGGAAGAAAGAAAAAAGAAAGGAAGGAAGAAAGAAAGACAAATATTGCCATGCTGTTTCTCTTTGCTTGACATCTCCTGAGAATCTCTGGCTGCCCCCTTCTTTGATGACCAGTTAATTATTTCTAAACAAGCATTATAATTGTCCAGGAGTCACTAGAGAAAGAAACCTTTCTCTAGCATACTCCTTTTCTTCAAGTGAAGAATTTCTCTGAAATTTTTTGGGTTTTATATTTATTTTTAATTATAGTAAAATATGCATAATGTAAAATTAACCATTTTAAATGTTTAATTTAGTGGCATGAAGTACACTCACAGTGTTGTGCAAACCTCACCACTATTCATTTCCAGAACTTTTCATCATTCCAAACAGGAATCTGTATCCATTAAACAATAACTCCCATTTTCCCCTTCCTTCATTTCCTGGTAACCTCCATTCTGCTTTCTGTCGCTATGAATTTGACTACTCTACTTGAGTATTCACATGACTTCACATAAGTGAAATCATGCAATATATGTTCTTTTGTCCAATTTATTACACTTAGCATAATGTTCTCAAGGTTCATCCATGCTGTGGAATGTGTCAAAATGTCCTTCCTTTTCAAAGCTGAATAATATTCCACTGTATGTAATACTACATTTTGCTTATTCATTCATCCATCAATAGGCACTTACATTGCTTTCACTTTTTCGTTATGTTGAATAATGCTGCTCTGAACATGGGTATATAAAAGTCTGTTCAAGTCCCTGCTCTTAATTCTTTTGGGTATATACCCAGAAGTGAAATTGCTGGATCATATGTTAACTAAGTTTAACTCTGAGGAATCCCAAACTTTTCCACAGGGGCTGCAACATTTTACATTCCTATCAGCAATGGACGAGGGTTCTAATTTCTCCACATCCCTCACCGACACTTGTTATTTTTTCTTTCTTTTTTTTTTCAATAGACATCCTGATGGCCATGAAATGGTAACTCCTTGTGGTTTTGATTTGCATTTTCTCCTGGGTTTTAAATAGCCAAGTCTCTCAAGTGGAGTCTATAGTCCTAACACTCAGTGGTAGCAAGGCCTCTAGGGGCAGAGTGAAGTTTAATGATCAGGAACCTCCCAGAGCCTCAGCTGCCTAGGATGTGAGTCAGAGATATTCACTTCTTGAAAGGTGAAAGCACCAGGTTATACTCTAATTGGAAGAGGAGAGAGGACCCTGGATTTGGAAATAAATAGATGTAGCCCTCATCACTCTCTTGTGATCTTGAGTCAGTCATTCAGCCTCTCCAGATTTTAGATTTTCCAGCTGTAAAATAAGAGCATGCTCTACTCAGAATTGTTAAATAACATGATGATGTGGAAGCAGCTGGCACAGTTCGGCACGTCAGGCCCTCAATAAATATGGTCCAGCTATGGAGTTGCTTGGAATTGTCCATTGGCTTTTCTTGGGCTCGATTTTTCTAAGTGTGCACCTTATAAAACCCATGAGGCCACACAGGCCAAATTATATATTCCTCTTGAGTCCCCAGCAGCCCAGGATAGTCATGACCGTATAGGACTCTCTATTATGCATGGACTCCTTGCTCAGACTATGGTTTTTAATCTAAGACCAAAAGAGGTAAAGCAACAGAAAGAAGGTCAGATTCTAAGTCAGCAAGACTTAGAGTCTTGCAAGCAATTTCACTTCTGGGTAAATGGCACAGAGCAAACGACCTTAACAACGTAAACAAAATGCCCAAAACTTGAACAAGAACATGAGTAACTTACATGTGGAGAGTATCCCATGGTCCAAATGGCATTTTCTTATATATTATTTCCATTCATCCTCAAATAATACTGTGAGAAAGGGATTATTATCATTCTCATTCGCAGATGAGCATATCAATGCTCAGGGAAGGTTAGAGACTTGCCTGAGGTCCAGAATCCAGAAAGTGGGGGAGCCTAAACTTGCACCCGGGTCTCCTGATGCCAGGACCTTGGCTACTTTGATGACAGTTCGAGTGTCTTCACTCGAACCCATTCCAGATTCTGGTCTAAGGGTAGGAAGACCAGCAACAGAGACCAAGAGATGTAAGAGACTTTTCTTTTACCTCCAGAATGCTCAAAACTTCACCATCCAGTTAATTTACTGCATGGTGTATTATATTAATGTAGGAAGGTTTGCTGAAGTGGAAATGTGGATTCTCTTTGTTATTGTGTCTTTCATATATTCTGAAACATTCATTCAACAAGTATTTGTCGGAATCAAAGCTCAGGCCAATTCTCTGGCTCAACTGTGGAACAACCACCTTCCCTAACCACTGTCTCTGTCCCCCTGGCGCCCCTCCCCACAGTGCCCCCACCCCCGACACTGCCTTAGTTTAAATATTGTTTATCCTATAGGAAGAAATCAGCAGCAGACAGACCGCTGGATGGCTGACCCTTATTTAGAAGATACTGTCAGTGGGAAGAACATTGCCACCAGATAATGATCACTTGCTGCTAGATAAATGCCAGGGCTAGTCTCTTGATGGATGTTGTGCAGGAAAATAACAATTACTCAATGTAGCTTTGTTGGATTGCTGCAGCACTCACCCTTGCCTGGGGGCACAGACACCCTTTTGGGAACTGAGCTACTGGGGACTGAGTGCAGCGTCAGTTTAACACCTTGTGCGCAGACCAGGAGGTGGGAGATGCTAAATGGGCCAGGGGAAGGGAAAAAGGAGGTACCACCTCCAACTTGCATGACTTTGGAGTGACTTCTTGACTTGACAGTGCCTCAGTTTCTCCAGCTTATACTACAATGGTTGTTACTTGCAACCCCAGGCTGTTTTAAGGGCTTGGAAAATACTTGAAACCAACATTAGGATGTCAAATGGTGTTTCTAACACTGGTAAAGTGCCTACTTCAGTTCTGTTTTCACAGCTCAGCTGACAGTGGGGGCAGGAGAGTTGCAAGGTGCTATGGTTTGGGTACTTGACCCCTCCAACTCTCATGTTGAAATTGGATCCCCGGTTTTGTAGGTGGGGCCTAATGGGAAGTGTTTGAGTCACGGGGGTTAATCCCTCATGAATGGCTTTGCGGTGTTTTCCATGACTGAGTTCTTGCTCTTTTAGTTCCTGCCAGAACTGATTGTTAAAAACAGCCTGGCACCTCCCTCCTGTCTCTCTTGCCTCCTCTCTCACCGTGTGATCTGCAAACACTGGCTCTCCTTTGCCTTCCGCTGTGAGTGCAGACAGCCTGAGGCCCTCTGCAAATGCAAATGTGGGTGCCATGCTTCTCCTACAGTCTGCAGAACATGAGCTAAATAAACCTCTTTTCTTTATACATTACCCAGCCTCGGGCATTCCTTTATGGCAACACAAATAAACTAAGACAAAAGGAGAGAGCTGACTGGGGCATGACCTGAAGCCAGAGGTGAGGGCTCCCCAGGTGTGAGAACAGTAATGATAAAGTAACCCCCAGCATAACTCTGAGCCCAATTTTCCTTTCTGGGCAAAAGAGCCCTGGACTTGGAGTCAGACAGATTTAGATTAAAATCCCACTCAGCTACCTATTAGCTATGTGATTATAATCCAGATAATCCTGTTGAGTTTCATTTTCCTGATTTTAAAATGGGAATATGACTCTGTCCATGTGTGAATTATTGCAATATCCTCCTAATTGGCATCTGCTTTCCCCTTAACCTATCTTCAGTCAGAGCCAGAGTGAGCTTCCTAAAATGCAGGTCAGATCATGACACTCCTACACTTCAACCCTCAATTGCTTCCCATTTCATAGAGTAAAAGCCAAAGCTTGCAATGGCTTAAAAGGCCTCCCAAGACCCGGTCCCTTGGTCCCTCTCTGACCTCATCTTCTACTCTGCTTATTCCCCTCAGTCTTCCGGCCCCCTCCCTGGAGCTCAGAGTCTTTGCTTGGGCTGATTTTTCTGCTTAGAACACTCTTTGCCCACATGTTTGCATAGCTCACACCCTCATCTCCTTCAAATGTTTGCTCAAATGTCTGCTTCTTAAGGAAGCCTACACTCATCATCCTTTTGAAAATTGAGGCCAGGCACAATGGCTCACACCTGTAATCCCAGCACTTTGAAAGGCTGAGGCAGGTGTATTGCTTGAGTCCAGGAGTCTCTACAAAACCCCCTCTCTACAAAAAGTACAAAGAACTAGCCAGGCATGGTGGTGTGCACCTGTATTCCCAGCTATTAGGGAGGCTGAGGTGGGAGGATTGCCAACAATCAACTGAGAAAATTAAGTTTATGTCCAGTTTTTCGCCATTACAGATAACGCTGCAATGATCATCTTTGTATAAAATATTACTATTTCTGTGGGATAGAAACCTAGAAGTGGATGTTCTGGAATAAAAAGCATCCATGTTTTATATTCTGGTTAAGGAATCTCATTGAATATAGTGGTTCCCAGAAATTAACTGGGCCAATGAATAATGTTTCTCTCCAATAACATCTATGTGGAATTTTTCCATACCATATTTTTCTTCAGTTTGAGGAGGAGGCAAACATTGTAGCCTGAGAACATAAATTTAGAACATTTTTCCCATAATCTTACATAATTAACCTAACAACTGTCCCATGACCAACTGGGATTTTACTGAGAAAGCACCCTTTGTAAGCAACACACGCTTGCTTAATAAGCATCCAATGTTCACTATTAAGTACAAGGTGAACCATAAGTTTTTGAACCATGCCTTTTATTCAATTGAGGAAGTTTCATTTTGGGCGTTTCATTTTGTCAAATATTTTTTCTGCATCTATCAAAATGATCACATTAGTTTTCTTCTTTATTCTGTTAATGTGGTGAATTACACTGATTTTCAAATGTTGAAACAATCTTGAATTCCTGGGATAAACTCTACTTACTCATGATGGATTATCTTTTTTGCAGGATTTGACTTGCTAATATTTGTTTTTGATTTTTGTATATGTGTTCATGAGGGATATTGGTTTGTAATTTTATTTTCTTGTCAATACTTTTGTCAGATTTTTGTATCAGGCTTATGGTGATCTCAAAAATTGTAGTGGGGCATGTTCCTCCTCTATTTGTGTAAGATTGGCATTATATGTGTCTTAATTTTGATAAAATTCAACAGTGAAACCATCTGTATTGAACTTTTTGTGGAAAGGTTTTGGATAAATTTAATGTCTCTAATAGATAAAGAACTATTCAGATTTTCTATTTCATTGATGTCAGTTTTGGTAAGTTATATTTTTCAAACAAATTCATCCATTTCATCGAATTTATCAAGTTTGTTGGCATTTCTGTTGATTCCATATCCTTGCTATTGTGAATAGTGCTGCAAAGAACATATGTGCACATGTATCTTTGTAACAGAATGATTTCTATTCCTTGGGTATATATCCAGTAATGAGATTGCTGGGTCAAATGATATTTCTGGTTCTAGCTCTTTGAAGAATCGCCACATCCTCTTCCATAATGGTTGAACTAATTTACACACCCACCACAGTGTAAAAGTGTTCCTGTTTCTCCGCAACCTCACCAGCATCTGTTGTTTCTTGACTTTTTAATAATGGCCATTCTGACTCGGGTGAGATGGTATCTCATTGTGGTTTTGATTTACATTTCTCTAATGATGAGTGATGTTGAACTTTTTTTCCTATGTTTGTTGGCTGCATGAATGTCTTCTTTTGAGAAGTGTCTGTTCATGTCCTTTGCCCATTTTTAATGGGGTTGTTTGTTTATTTCTGGTAAATTTGTTTGAGTTCCTTGTAAATTCTGGATATTAGACTTTTGTTGGATGGATAAATTGCAAAAATTTTCTCCCACTATGTAGGTTGCCTGTTCACTCTGATGATAGTTTCTTTTGCTGTGCAGAAGCTCTTTAGTTTAATTAGATCCCATTTATCCATTTTTGCTCCTGTTGCAATTGCTTTCGGCAATTTCATTGTGAAATTTTTGCCCTTGCCTATGTCCTGAATGGTATTGGCTTAGATTTTCTTCTAGGGTTTTTATGGTTTGGGGTTTTACATTTAAGCATTTAATCCATCTTGAGTTAATTTTTGTATAAGGTGGGAGAAAGGGGTCCAGTTTTAATTTTCTGCAAATGGATAGCCAGTTATCCCAACACCATTTGTTGAATAGGGAGTCCTTTCTCCACTGCTTGTTTTTGTCAGATTTGTCAAAGATCAGATGGTTGTGGATGTACAATCTTATTTCTGCGTTCTCTATTCTGTTCCATTGGTCTATATGTCTTTTTTTTTGTATCAGTACCATGCTGTTTTGGTTATAGTAGCCTTATAGTATAGTTTGAAGTCTGGTAGAGTGTTAAGAGGGAAATTTATAGCACTAAATGCCCACATCAAAAAGCTGGAAATATCTCTATTCGACACCCTAGCATCATAACTAAAAGAACTGGAAAACCAAGAGCAAACAAACCCCAAAGCTAGCAGAAGACAATGAATAACCAAGATCAGAGTGGAACTGAAGGAGATAGAGACATAAATAACCCTTCCAAAAATCAATGAATCCAGGAGCTGGTTTTTTAAAAAAATTCATAAAATACATAGGCTGCTAGCTAGACTAATAAAGAAGAAAAGAGAGAAGAATCAAATAGACACAATAAAAAATGTTAGAGGGGATATCACCACCTACCCCACAGATGCAAACAACCATCAGAGAATACTTTAAACAGCTCTATGCAAATAAATTAGAAAATCTAGAAGAAATGGATAAATTCCTGGACACATACACCCTCCCAAGACTGAACCAGGAAGAAGTTGAATCCCTGAATAGACCAATAACAAGTTCTGAAATTGGGGCAGTAATAAATAGCCTACCAACCAAAAAAAGCCCAGGACCAGATGGATTTACAGCTGAATTCTACCAAAAAAACAAAGAGGAGCTGATACCATTTCTTCTGAAACTATTCCAAACAATCGAAAAGGAGGGACTCCTCCCTAACTCATTCTATGAGGCCAGCATCATCCTGAAACCAAAACCTGGCAGATACAACAACAAAAGAAAACTTCAGGCCAATATCTCTGATGAACATTGATGCAAAAATTCTCAATAAAATACTGGCAAACTGAATCCAGTAGCACATCAAAAAGCTTATCTGCCATGTTCAAGATGGCTTCATTCCTGGGATACAAGGCTGGTTCAACATACTCAAATCAATAAATGTAATTCATCACATAAACAGATCTAAAGATAAAAACCACATGATTATCTCAATAGATACAGAAAAGGCCTTTGATAAAATTTGATATCCCTTCACCTTAAAAACTCTCAATAAAGTAGGTACTGAAGGAACATACCTAAAATAATAAGAGCCATTTATGACAAATCCACAGCCAATATAATATTGAATGGGCAAAAGCTGGAAGCATTCGCCTTGAAGACCGGCACAAGACAAGGATGCCCTCTCTCACCACTCCTATTCAACTTAGTATTGGAAGCTCTGTCCAGGGCAATCAGGCAAGAGAAAGAAATGTATTCAAATAGGAAGGGAGAAAGTCAAAATGTCTTTGTTTGCAGATGACATGATCCTATATCTGGAAAACCCCATTGTCTCAGCCCAAAAGCTTCTTAAGCTGATTAGCAACTTCAGCAAAGTCTCAGGATACAAAATCAATGTGCAGAAGTCACAAGCATTCCTATACACCAACAGCAGGCAAGTGGAGAGCCAAATCATGAATGGACTCCTATTCAGAATTGCTACTATGAGAATAAAATACCTAGGAATACAGTTAACAATGGAAATGAAAGACCTGTTCAAGGAGAACTACAAACCTCTGCTAAAAGAAACTAGATAGGCCACATACAAATGGAAATATATTCCATGCTCATGGATAGGAAGAATCAATATCGGGAAAAAAGTCTTTATCCTCCAATTTACTGTCTCTCGTGCTCTTTATTCCTCTCCAGAGTTAAGTTTCCATCGTGAGTCATTGTCCTTCAGCACTTCCTTTAGCATATTTTGTAGCATGTTTGTTCATGATAAATTCTCTCAATTCCATTGATCCGAAAATATTTTTACATCTTAATTTTTGAGGGACTATGTTGCTGGTAGAGAAGTTTGGTTTGATAATTTTACCTTTCAGCACTTTTAAGATGGTGTTTATTTGTCTTCTGGCCTCCATTGTTTCTGCAGAGGAGTCAGCCTTCATTCGTAACATTTGTTCCCCCATATGTAATGTTTCACTTTCCTTTGGCTGCTTTCAAAATTTCCTTTTCATCTTTGTTTTACCATGATGTGACTAGATGTAGTTTTTATTTTCCTTTTTATTTAGTCTGCTTGAGATTCACTGAGCTTTGTGGATCTGTAAATTTATGTTTGTATCAAATTTAGAAAATATTCAGCCATTATTTCTTCAAATATTTTTGTCTCATTCTTTTTCTCCTTTTCTGCATTTCATTTACACACACTGTGTTATGTTGTTTCACTGCTTTATATTATTCTACAGATTTCTGAGGCTCTGTTCATATTTTTCAATCCTTTTCTCCCTATTCTTTAGCATGGATTATTTATACTGAACTAACTTCAAATTTACTAAAGCTTTCTTAATTAATTTACAATATTCTATTAAGTCCAGCCAGTAAGTTTCTCATTTCAGTTATTCTATTTTTATTCTGATATTCCATTTGGTTCTTTTTTTTTAGATAGTCCTCTTATGTCTGCTGAGGTTTCATATCTTTTCATTCATTATCTGTATATTTTCTTTTACGTTCCTGTAGAGATTTACAATAACTGTTTTAAGTCCTTTTTTGCTATTCCAACAACTGGAATCAGTTTCCATTGCCTGTTTTATTTCATTTTTTCTATTGACTATGTGTCCCCATACCTGTTTCTTCATGTCTAATACCCTTTAATTTTACCTCAGATACTGTGGATGCCATGCTGCAGAAACTCTGGTTTATTATCTTGCTCTCTCACGTATTGAATTTTGTTGCAGCATACAATTAATATGACTCAGTTCAAATTCCAAACTCTCTTTCTTGAAGTGGATATCAACCGGTTTCACTGCTAGTTTTTTAAACTTTTCACCTGGGCTGCTTGGAGTCTCCCTCACACATGTGCACTCCTAGTCAATTAAGAATTTGGACAGGATTTATAAGAATATTTTGGGTCTCTGCCCTTTTTTGGCTTCCTCTTTTCCAAGATTTACCTTCTAAATTTCCATCTTCTTGGCAGGCCTGAAATCTGTTCTTTAACTCCTCAAGCTTATAAAATTGTGGCTTTCTGGTTGAGTTTTAGCCTCTCTATGTTGTGTATCCTAGACTGGGGATAAAAGACAGATGCTATTGGGTGAAAAGCTGTATAAATGTGAATCTCACCTGCCCAGCTTCCTTCTTCCAAGGGTTACTTCTTTTCCGGTTTCTGCCTGTTTTTAATCACTTTTCAGTGCCTTCGGGTGGTTTTTTTTGTCTGCTTGCCCAGAGTTTATAATGCTACCTGCAGAATGGTTAGTCTAAAACAAGCTACCCTACCATGGAAAGCAAACACCTTTCAGTAACACCATTAGTATTTTTTCTTCTTTTATGAATTGCCTGTTTTATATCCTCCACCCTTTCTATTCATCTTTTCTATTCATATTTTCTTATCAATCTATAAACTGTAGCTGATGAGCTCATTTCTGCGTCTGTTCTGATCACAGCCTATTTAAACTAGCTGGTAAAATAGCTTCTATTTCACGCTTGAAACAGAACACAGAGGATAGCCTAATAGAACATTTGCACATAAATCATGAACATAAATATGGAGTTAAAAATCACTTCAAGGTGGTGTCTACCTACACACTATTGTGTAAACATCTGTATTTAGACCTTGTAGTGTCCTCATGGATGGATACACATGACACCACCATCCCTGTCTCCAGAGCAGTTTGCTTAGGCTAGTTTTCCTACTGCAATGTGGTACCCACTATTTTGGCCCAAACATACTCACCACAGTGTATATAGAACAAGGATCGCTGACTAGGGCGTCGGGAGGCCTGGATTTTAATCTAGGTTCTTCCACATCATAGTCAATCTATAGGAATCAGTTTCTCCAGCTTTAAAATAGTCACAATAACGGAGTGTTGTTCTGTGGATAGAATGAAGGAAATGAAATGTCTAGCACAACAAGTGGCACAGAGGAAGAGCTCGATAAACATTGAATCTGAATTCTTTCTCAAGTTCTGACCTATCCAAAAGTGGAGAACAGAGGTGAAGGATTCTTGGCTTTAGGTGCTGCACATTTTACCAGGGGAAGAGATGTGAATATGGGTGGAAGTAGCAGCCCTGCACAGATATATGAGAGAGAAGAGGAAGCAGAGAGCTTGGGGCTGAATTTCTCTAACCACTAGAGTTTGTATTTGCTCTCTGGGGCAATAATAAAGTTACCGCTTTAACTAAAATTTACTGCTAAACTTCAGATGGTCTGTCATACAGAAATATTTTGGCAGTAGAAAACAACTTGCTTAATATAACACAGCTAGAAAGGTGAATGTTGGATTCAATTTCTGGCCTATGTTACCCATGATGTCATGCATTTTTACATACACAAATGCACCTGACAGAGAACCTGGCTTATAAAAGGAGTTCAACACATCCTAATATCTGAATCTGAATCTGACTTTCTTTACAAGTGTCTTCCAATGAGCCACACACAGTGAGACTGGGGACTCTGGAGGACAATCTAGTCATGAGGCCACCATGTTTCTTTGCACCCAGAGTGGGGCTGGTCCCTGGGGTGCTGGGCAGTAAATCCTTAGGGGCTGGAACCCTAGGCACAGATTTTCTTCCTATTTGCCCAGCTGTCTGAACTATAAGGCCCTGGGGAGGCCTGTGTGGGATGAGAAAGTCAGAGCCACCAAATGAGTAGGAGAGGTTCAGAGAGGGGCAACCAACAAAGGAAAGTCTCCTTGAGGAACAGCGTAGCCAACCATGGGTCCTGATAAGCATGGCAGCCTGATGTGTGCATAGTTATCCTGGCACTGTGCTCATCAGTTCACATCCCATAGGTATTTGGTTGGTTCCAAGATGCCACCCATTCCTGCTGAGTAGAGATCAAACAAGACTCCTCTATGGACCAGAGGGCCATAAACATGTGTTTTCTCAGACAAAGAAAAAAAGGAGTTAAAGGTCATCTTGAGAGTCTCCAAATATATAGACCAAGATCTCAGGGTCTAATAAGATCCTTTGCGGCGCTGAGGAGATATTACATCTGAAAGAACTAAAGAATGTGCACAGGCTTGGGATGAACATAACCTAGTTTATGAAAATAGAAAATTAAAAACTAAAGGATGAGGAAGGGGGTAATTCTGTCTACAGTAAGATTCCTCATAGGGTTCCTTTAAGCAGTGAGCTCCCTTGCTGCCATTAAAATATTATTTGATGTGCAAAATTTTAATTAGATCCAACTTTTCCAGAACACATTTAATGTGAATCTGGCTATGCTGGCTTGATGTCGATTTCATTTCCTCACATTTATTTGGGATCTCTTGTTGTCAGGTGCCATTTCTGGGTCTTATGCTAGGTACAAGAATATGGAGGTGAGTAAGGATCAGGCCCCGAGCTCCCAAGTCCTTAGCCCTCTTCCTCAGGAGGCTGCTCCACAGGAAAGGAGTTGGACATTCCTCAGGTTTATTTTCCTGCTGGGAGTGTTAATATCTCTCCCGCCCCCAAACTTGTCTCTGGTGTGTTATCAGGTGAGCACAGAAACATGGCTTTTCTCCACCATCTTCCCCTCTCTCCACAGAGGAGGAGCAGGGTAATCACAGTCTTCCCCTGAGACTAGTAATCAGGAAGGCTTCAGGGCAGACAGAGTGAAAGCCCAGACCCGCAGCCACTTGGAAATAAAGCCATGCTCTTTGGCTGAAGAGTCACAGCATCTGGCTGAAATGTCCCTGGTCCCACGCAGCCATCTTAAAGTAGACTTTGCTCTGCACCTGGAAGAGATAAGGGACCCCCACAGGGTGTGGAGGAGGACAGAGAACAGTCCAAAGTGCTAGTCAAGGGTCTTGGTGGGCTCGAACCCTGATCTCTGACTTTGCTGCCTTTGTCTGGCTTCCTCTGAAGTCCCGGCCCACCTCTTGATGCAAGACCCACCAAGATGCCTAGATGTCCATAGGAAGAGGTCTCTGAGTAACCATGTGAGGCAGCCAAGGCTTTGTGGGAGGAGCCCCCAGCTAGGTCAGGGGCATGGGGCT
This sequence comes from Homo sapiens, assembly GCF_000001405.40. NCBI lineage: Eukaryota > Metazoa > Chordata > Mammalia > Primates > Hominidae > Homo > Homo sapiens. Next base: position 30,881,234 of record NC_000002.12, read on the forward strand.
CAGCTCTGTCTGATGGGCATGACCTCAGGCAAGCCTCTGTCATAAAATGCCTCTGGGAGCTTCATAATTCCTCACCTGAATTGACTCTTCAATGGCCGGGGTTTGTCTTAATCTCAATCTCTCTCTCTTTTTAAAATCTCCAG